>NC_000023.11:14864760-15167791 GCF_000001405.40 Homo sapiens | reverse complement strand
GAATTTTCTCCAGCTGAAGTTAGAAGAGAGATGAAACAAAAGAGAAACGCAGATTAGGCCTTCAGAGAGATGCAACAGAAACAAAATTGGAAAGATTTGAGCCATAAAAAGAACTTGACTGGCTTATGCTGGAGGAGGGGGCCACATAGAATAAGAAGGAACATGGGCAGCCTCTAGGAGCAAAAACCCTGGTTGATAGCAAGAAAGGAAATGGGAACCTCAGTCCTACAATCACAAGGATGTGAAAACTTGAATAACTCTGGAAACTGGTATTTCCCAGAGCCTCTTAATAAGAGCTCAGCCAGCCAACAGCTTGATTTTGGGCCTGTTAAACATGAAGCTGAGAAACCAGCTAAGCCTTCAAGGACTTCTGACCTACAGAACTGTAAGATAATAAATTTGTGTTCTTGTAAGCCACTAGATTTGTGGTAATTTGTTTTGGTGGCAGTGGAACTCATACAGGAAGTAACAGTCAAGTTTAGCAGTACCCAAACTTAAGGCCACTCTACACCATCATTATTAGGATTCTACCAATGATTTAGTAAATTGAGCCGTGTACTACGGGTCATGGAACTTTTCTGAAACTCAAATTTCTGATCTTTAAATTGGAGATAAAATTGTCCTCAACTCACAGAATGGACCAAAAACTCCAATGAGATATAAACTTTGAAACACTGTGCAAACATAAAGAGGCTGCTCCCATAGACTTGGAGGTATAATTATGCCTTTTGGCAAAGCACTTTCACTTTAAGCTCTTCACCTTTGTTATAAGTTGGGTTGCCTGAGAAGCAAACTTGGAGATGATATAGAATGGAACTTGAAGTTGAAGTCTGAGGTATTTATTAGGGAGTGTTTGGATACCTTCCAACACCTATAGAAGGAAGCAGGATTGGGCTAGGGAGAAGTTGAGCTGGAATGTAGTCCCATTAGCAATCCACAGGAACTTTGGAGCTGGATGTTCCTTCAAAATTGTCCAGGGATAAGCCCAGGGTCTGAGTCTTTATGCATCCTGGGTCAATTATCATTGAATGAGATTGCCCTGGAAAAAAATGCATGGGCTTGATTTAGTCAGCTAGATTTAGCTGAGATAGTCCCCAGTGAGGGCTGACAGCCGATAGCACTCCCAACAGCTGGGGGTGTCTAGGCAATTCATCAGTGTTGATAACATTCCTGATAATTTGGGGTGTATGATAAGATGTCTTTCAATCACAAAAAGGAAATCATATTTCTTCAGGTACCATTTTGATTTCTAAATCTCTTTTGTGTCTCAGCAGTTCTGTTTCATGCAAGATAAATGATTTTCTGTTATCAGTATCCCACTCCTAAGTCTCAACAATCTCTTGGATCGGTTCATTCTTTAGGGCCTCCCAATGCCCATAGATTCCTTTGCCAGATTGGAGACTGCTTAAATACTTTAACATGTATATCTGCCAACACCATTGTATTAGTTCATTTTCACACTGCTATAAAGAACTACCTAAGACTCGGTAATTTATAAAGAAAAGAGGTTTAATTGACTCACAGTTCTGCATCGCTGGGGAAGCCTCAGGAAACTTACAATCATGGTGGAAGGCGAAGGGGAAGCAAGTATGTCTTACCATGGCAAAACAAGAGAGAAAGAGAAAGAGAGAGAGAGAAAGCCACACACTTTTAAACCATCAGATGTCATGAGAACTCACTATCACCAGAGCAGCATGAGGGAAATCCACAGCCATGATCCAATCACCTCTCACCAGGTGCCTCCCTTGACATGTGGGGATTACAATTTCAGATAAGATTTGGGTGGAGACACAGAGGCAAACCATATCAACCATGCCAAAGAAATGACGGTGGGAAGGAACTAACGAAAATCCCTTAGGAGCCCTCTTAAAATGCCTGTGGCCTAAATGCTTAAATGAACGGAACAACAACTGGCATCCCTAAGGCTCCAATTTGCTATACCATAAGGGAACATTTTGTGCAGTGGTGGCCACAGAATTCCAGAAGAGTTTCAGGAGAGGCAGTTTAATATTTCATATTCTCAGCCTCTTCACTTTTTCAAGTAGCATAATCAACTGGAAATATCTTCTGTCGTTGGAGTGTTTTTGTACCATACTCCAAGTCTTGCAACTTACTCTGAAATGTGAGGGCTGAAATGTTTTTGTAATGTGATTAAGAAGGAAAAAACTAGTGAAAGAAAGAAAAAGGACAAAAGCAATGTGCTTTTTAAACATCTTATTTAGTCCTTTTCATGAGACTGCCAGTTTTGTGCCATTAGAATCAGCATTAATCCTTCCCTGTCTATCAGGTTATCAGATTATTATAGGGATTGGAACATGTTAACCTGCACTGAAACCTTTGGCATAATAAAGAAATCATATTTTAACTCAAGGATTTTTGATTAATAAACCTTTCCCAAATAATTTCCAAAGTGAATTTTTTTTTTATCAACAAAACTATGAGTAAGACATACTCTCATTTCTTAAAGAATTGTAGATAAAGGGAGAGGACATCTTTTCTAAGTAGAGAACATTTCATTTTGGTCTCTCCTTACATGTCCCATAGGCAAATCATTTGTCTAAAGTTGATTCTCTCAATACATCTATTCCTCTTTTTGTATTTCCTGTTTTGGTAAGTAGCACCTAAGTTGAAACTTAGGAATTAAAGAAAGTGAAAATAAAGAAAAATTCCGAGAAGAAGGTGTTCAAAAGAGTTAGGGAAGACAATTTTCTGTAGATTGAACAAGAAAATGCCTTCAGAGTGAAAGAGAAAACCAAGCAGCCAACATAATAAAAAAAACCCTACATATTTTATGATATTTTCCAGAACACCAAGAATAAATAGAAAAGTCTAAACACTCTCAAAGGCAAATACAAGTTGCTTGGAATAGAACAAGAATTAAACCACCATCCTTCTTTACATCAGTAACACCAAATGCTATACACTACAGGGATCATGTAATTAATTTATTGCCCAAACCAGGACATTTTATCTGGATCGGTCTTGGGATAACAGGTGTAAACTGGAACTACCACAGGTAAACTGGGATGCATGGTCACTTCACTAAAAGCTGTTAAAAATAGGAATTTCAAAATTCTGATAGAAAATGTCTTTAATCTAAAATTTCACAAATAGAGAAAACAACAAACCAGTATGAGGGCAGAATGAAGACTTTAGATATGCAAGAAAGTTTGACACCAATGCATATTCTGGGGGGAAGTTACTTGAAGATGTATTTATTTTTTAAAAAGGATAAAATAAGCCAGTAGTTAGACAACAGATAGAGAAAATAGAGTATCTAAGAGAAAACAAAAGTAAAAAGAAGCTCCAATGTGATGGGACAGAGAAATAAATCTGAGCATAACAAAGCTGAGTGGACTTAGTGAACATTCAGCCCAGTTGGAGGAGAGAGGACACACACCGGAAGATGGAGGGTCTAAGAAGCAAATGTCCATATATGAGGGGAATCAGCAGAAAAGATAACAGGAACAGTTTGGTGATTATATAAAGAAAAGGCCATTAGTATAGTACATAAAAGAAGACAGTCTATTCAAACCTAACCCTAGAAACATTCTCCTCTGAAAGCCATAGGAAGCAAATGTATTATAATAAAACCTAATATTTATTGAGAAGTTACTATGTGTAGGCATTATATATTTTACATATACTAATCACTTAAATATTCATAGGAACCCTATCAGGTAGCTAAAATTATTTTCCCCTATTTTTCAGATGAAGTAACAGAGGCAGAATGAGGTTGCTCATCCAGGGTTACACAGATAATACAGGCAGAGCTAGGATTTCGATAGTCAGCCTCTAGCTGTCTGCTCTCAGAGAATATCATTTGGTTCTAGAATAAACAATATTTGGTTAAATGAATGTTAACAAATCTTATATGTTTTTAACTTTTAGAATTAATATATAAATAAATCACAAGCAACTTAAGGGTCCTTACAAGTCAGGATATAAATGTTATGCAAAAGAAAGACATATTTGACTATTTCCAGGATGTTGGAAGATGAAAGGGAAGGAGGAGACATGGAGGGAAGGATGGGACAATAGTATCCTTGTCTAACAAAATGGGGAGAAAAGAGAAAGAGTCTATATTTGATAGTCCCAGGCATAGAGGTTTAAAATGCTGTTTAAGTTACAAAGGTGACCACTCTTGTCACTATCTTTGGTGAAATATTGAGGGGAAGTGAGTAGTAGTTAAGTCGGTTAAGTCTACATCTAAAAATCAAGAAATCAATAAAAATTGCTTAAGGTTGATAAATAAATTAAAATATCAGTATGAGCAATTTATTGAGAAATATAGAAGTACCTATCAGAGAAACAAAATTAGAAATAGCGATTTCTTCCAGGGAAAACAACTACAGTTTTTCCTCATGGAATAAAACAACTTCTTTCATGTTATTTTATTTTTGAGGATATTACTTTGCACATATTAGTTTGATAAGCCAGAGAAAGAGAAGATGCAACATCAGCAATTTAGTTTCAGGAAAACAACATCATCCATTGCATTAAATAAAATGTAGCTAATTTGGATTCCATTGGCATTGTAACTTTGATCATATTTAACTCGTAAATTTGTTTTGATTTTATAATAGAATAAAAGCATAAGGATTGTATATTCAGTTTAATGTATGTACATTTCAAAATATCGTTAGAATAAAAAATGCTGTGTGTCGACTCTGAGAGGCCAAACCATTTTTTTTTCTATCATTACATCACTCAAGTTTGAAGAATACTACTTCACTGTAAGGGGTCTAACTACTTTGGTACAACTCATTACTCAAGGCTTGGTTCAACTGCATCTCTTCTCTGAAGCCTTTCCTCAACCTTCTAGGCAGAATTGATGATGGCCTTTTTTGGGTCCCACTGTACATACATTGTAAGTGTATTTATTACAGTTTATGTTTTTTTCATAGAGCTATTTGTTTACACAGATGTTTATGATTACTAGACCAAAAGTGCTTATGAGTAGGGCTCATAGCTTATTCTTCTGTATCCCCAGCAACCAGCTCACAGCCCATCACATGCAAGGAGCCTAGCAAATGTTTGCTGAATCAATGGGTGGTAGCAGTGATAATATTCTCCTGGCTTTCATAGTTCCATTCAATTGTTAACCATCAAATTGGAAAAGCACAAGGTACTTTATCCACCATGGCTAAAAAGCTTTTTAGAAATAGGAAAAATTTTAAGATGAGGTTTAAGTCTTATAATTAGATTTATGGCAGATTAAAGGCTCATAAAAAGGAGTTGTCTTAAGCTCTTCTCCTGAGTGCCTGTATCCCTGTAGAAATAAGGCAATGGTGTCATTCTACACAGGTATAGTAAACATTGGTACAATGGGAGAATATCCTAGCATTTAATGACATATCATAGTTACTAAACGCATGATGAACTTTGTTGAGATAACTTGGCAACACAGATTTTCACTTCAACTGCAGGAAGGAAGTTTAACATTTCCTGGCCCCATTCTTAACACCCCCCTTATAGTTATCCTTCACCCAGATAAAAATGAATCTAGCTTATTGGTATATCTACTTAAGAAAGGATACAATACAACTACAATACAAGAAAAATGAAGAGGTAAAATTGTTGAATTTTTTTGAAAAGGACAAACTCATAAAAGGAAGCAGTGACTCTAGTGACACATTCCTATTGGTTGAAATTGGTGAGACTGTTGAGATTGTTATTTGTTGCCTCCCCATTACCCCGGCATTGTCGATGCACTCATCCATTCATTAATTCATTTTGCAATAGTTATCAGACACCAATTAGGAACAAAATGTTGCTCTACCACCATGGCTGATTCACAAGTAAGATTTAGCCCTAATAAACCAGAGTTAGAGCTTCATGCAATTTGTCTTCTGACCAACCAGTCTATGTTACTTGCAGTTTTACAAGCTGGCTTTGACAAAAGGAAACATTCTCTGTCTATTGATTACAACTTTTAAAAATGTGCTTAAGTAGCTCACAGGCAGGTATTTAAACAAAAACATGATAGCTCCTTGGGACTCATTGAAGCTGGCTTAGTTGCTTTATTCTAAAAAAAAAAATCCAAAAGCCCTTTGTTTTATTGTGACCTCAATTATAGCACTTCCTCAAAGGATAGTACCTAAGAAAAGCCACTACATATTATGGTAAAACCCTTATGTGATACTTAACCCTAAAAACTTTAATAATATCTCACTAATATTCCCACTCCTGAAAAAAGTAGATTTCATTAAGAATTCAGGAATAAGACCACTTTTCTTATATCTTTGCTTTTTAAAATTGGAATTTCTAGATAGTGATCTAGTTGGAAACAGCAACATTTGAAAAAATAAGTTTATTCAGTTCCTTCTGAAAGTATTGATTATATTTTTCACTGAAGTTGCTTCGAAACATTCTTAAAGGTCTGGATTAGGTATTTATGGAAACCTCTTACTCTTTAAGTTATGGAGTTTACATTAAAAAACTGTAACTGATCCTCAACCAAGTGTCAGACAAGAATATCTGAAGAACATTAAAAATTATTTTGAATTTATTTCCTTTCATGTGTCATCTTCTTTAGCCCCAGTTTACTTTCAGCTACCAACGCTTTTATAAGAAGATTCATTCAAAATATAGGCATCAGATATTCACTAATACTAAATATTTTCCATTCTCCTAAACTAAGGCCAGGTTAATATCTCCCATGTCTTTTTTTTAGTCTATTCAATGCCGTATTTTTTGGTGATTTTGCTGTTTGAAATGGCTCCCAAGTATAGTGCTGAAGTGCTGTCTACTGTTCCTGAGTGCAAAAATGCTGTAATACGTTTTATGGAGAGAATAGGTGTGTTAGATAAGATTCATTCAGGCACGAGTGATAGTGCTTCTGGCCATGAGTCAAGGTAGTTAATCAACAATATGTATTAAACAAAGTGTCTTTAAACAGAAATTCACGAAACAAGGTAATATATTAATCAGTTGATGAAAATGTAACCAGATGCTACAGAAACCCAATCCGGTATTTCCCTTAGGAGCAATGGTTCTGTATTTGCTCATTCAGTGTTCATGGTGACTTTATAGAACATTAACTACTGTAAGTAGTGAGAATTGACTGTACTCTAAATGCCTAGTACTTAGTTGGGGCTAAACATATACTTATTCATTTGTCATTTTTCTGTACACATAAGGATAAAATGATAAAATTTTCTTTGAGGGATGAAGGGACGGCTGCTTCCCCACCCTCCTCTTAGAGTGTTTCCTTGTAAACATAATAGGGCCAATGAGTGGGCCAACCTTTTTACTTTACAATGAAAGGTTTGAGGCCTTCTGTTCCTTGGTAACATAAACATATACCTCCAAAATTAACTGTCTCATGAAGTGTACAGGAAACTATTGCAAGGTAAATCAATTTATCTCTCAAGGAGATAAGACAAGATTGAATTATTCTTTCTTCTGCCTCACTGTAGAAACTTGGATCAAATTCTGTCAAGATGCTGTAGGTACTTTTGAGCTACCTTACATGCAAGTAAATCTGGTAGGGCTTACTCTAAAAAATTGTGTTCCCTGTCTCTTCTATATTGGTACAGAAGGGTCTTTTGTTGGTAGGACTATTTTATTTTATTTTATTTTATTTTATTTTATTTTATTTTATTTTATTTTATTTTATTTTATTTTTTGGGACAGAGTCTCGCTCTGTTGCCCAGGCTGGAGTGCAGTGGCACAATCTAGGCTCACTGCAAGCTCCACCTCCCGGGTTCACGCCATTCTCCTGCCTCAGCCTCCCGAGTAACTGGGACTACAGGCGCCCACCACCACGCCCGGCTAATTTTTGTGTTTTTAGTAGAGAGACGGGGTTTCACATTGTTAGCCAGGATGGTCTCGATCTCCTGACCTCGTGATCCGTCCGCCTTAGCCTCCCAAAGTGCTGGGATTACAGGCGTGAGCCACCGCGCCCGGCCTATTTTATTTCTTAAATGTATGTTTGAGTTTTATTCTGGGGAGGCTGTTATTCCTTAATTTCTTGGGATTGTTTGTATCTGTCAATGACTGAATGGCTTTTTTGGCTTTGCTATTATGCCGTTCAAATTATACTAATGCACCTGTTAAGTTAAAGTGGTTATGCTTGTGGGCTCTCAGTAAATCAATTTTGCTGCTGAATAGTGAAGCAGTTCAGGGTTTCCATATTTCTGTGTCTATTTGGAAACCAGAAAAATGGATGTCTGGATATTTTGCAAAGTGTCTGATGATCCTATTTGTTGATTGAGAATGTTGCAGGCATGGGAAGAAAGGTTGCTTAGACTCTAAATTGTATGGCATGATTCTCAGTTACTGGCTCCAGCCATGAGCCAGATGCCTGATTTTTCTAGGAGATATGTAAATTCAATAATTTAAGATAGAAACTAATTCAGGACTCCATTGATTCATCTTGACTGTTTTGAAGAACTCATTTCACTAAAGGATGATGCCGGTGATGCTTGCTTTTACTCATCAACCTGTCCCCTCCTCCCCTATGTACTTCTTTCCCTGGAGACGTTCTGAGTGGTGTCTGAGTCAGTGATTCAGGACACTGCTGCCTACAGGGCAGGGTTTCCTAACCATCCTTTGTTGTGATGGGAGCTGTCCTGTGCACTGTAGGATGTTTAGCAACATCCCTGGCTTCAACCCGTTAAATGCCAGTAGCATGCCCCCTTCCAGTTGTGACAACCGAAAATCCCCAGACATTGCCAAATGTCCCCTGGTCCCTACTGAGAAGCACTCTTTAGGGAGAGAAGGTGTATCTGTGCTAAGTTGAGGTTTCCAGTGTTTCCTGTCTCTAAGATTGAAAGTAAATGAGCCTTAAGGGCAGCAACAGAAGCTCATAAGTACCTGCCACTGAGGAAGCCCCCTTGGTTGTCCTAAGAGGAAATGTGACTACCACATGACAAAGGTTCTTCTTAGAAGTTTGTTGGGCTGTTCACAACTTGCCGGCATGTAGGGAACAGCACCTGTTGTGTATCTCGGTTTTCTTGTCTACACAGGGAATAAAACGCTGCCCCTTAAACAAGTTTTATTTTGTTTTGCTTTTAGTTTCTTTTCTGCCTCATAGAGGACAACAAGCCTAGCAGCTTCTGGAAGATGAAGAACAATGTAAGCATCTGAATTTCATCCCTTCTCAGTTCTCTAGAGCTCTTAACCTTAATAGTTGGGAGCTTCCCTTTTTCAATAGTTCCTTTCTTAGGACCTTTGTCCAATCAAGTTAATTGGCTTACCACGGAAAGGCAGAAGAGCATGGTGACTAAGATAATAGACCCAGTTTAAAGCCTGGCTCTGCCACTCACTTTGTGTGACTTTGATTGGCTGTTTAATTTCTGGGTGGCTTAGGTTTCTTCTTTTAAAAATGCTGATAATAATATTACCATTCTTACATGATTGTTGAGAATTTTGAATGAGTTAATATCCTCATAGCACTTGGCATAGTGATGCAAGGAAAAATTTGTACTTCAGTGGTAACCCACATGCCTTTATCAATTTTGATTCTGTGGGAGTTCAGTTACGACTCTCACTTGTAGATAACTGACAGCAATGCAAAAGGATTCTTGTCTATAGACATGAAAATGTCCAATCATTCGTGTTGCAGTCATTGAATCCCTTTTATTTCACTGTTTCTCTCAGTAGAGGCCATGGGGAGCTGACATCTTTGGCTATTGTTCCTTTCAGTGTCTATGTAATAAATTGCCTGAATCTAAAAAGGATTCATGTTTCTTTACTGGTCAAATATGCCAGGCCTTGGCCTTACCTTGTGCTTGACAACCAGAATTTGAAATTAGGTTTCCCTGACTTTCCAAAGTCTATCTGTTTGTCACTGTATCTCTTTACACTCCTGGGTATTTTTTTCTTAATAGCCTGCCATCTTTTAACTATCCTTTTTTTGCAGTAAGATTTATGATTGAGTGTTAGTGTCCATCTGAAACAGAATGCACAAACATCTGTGGCCTCCATCCCAGCCTGTATTCCTTATCTACTGCTGCATAACACCTTACCCCAAAACTTAGCAGCTTGAAATAACACATGGTTTATGCGATCATGAATTTAGGCATAGCTTAGGTATATGGGTCCTCTGGTTTGGGGACTCTTACAACCCTGTAATTAAGGTGCCAATCAAGGCTATGATTTTTTCTTACCTGAAGCTCAAGTAGAAAAGGATCTGCATCCAAGCTCACTCACGTGGTTGTCATCAGGATTCAGTTCTTCAAGGGCGGCTGGACTGAGGCATCAGTTCCCTGTTGGCTGTTGGCCTGAGGCTTCCCTCGGTTCCTTAAACTGGGCTTTTCCAACATGGCAAGTTACTTTATCAAAGTGTGCAAGCTAAGTAGGCAATAAAGAAAGCCTGCTGAGGTGACATCTCATCCTTTTCCATATTCTAGTCACTGTTTTCTGCCCACTCTTTATTTTTTATTTTATTTATTATTTTCATTTTATTTATTTATTTATTTATTTATTTATTTATTTATTTATTTTGAGATGGAGTCTCGCTCTTGTCTCCCAGGCTGGAGTGCAGTGGCACGATCTCAGCTCACTGCAAACTCTGCTTCCTGGGTTCAAGCGATTCTCCTGCCTCAGCCTCCCAAGTAGCTGGGATTACAGGTGCACACCATCATGCCCGGCGAATTTTTATATTTTTAGTATAGATGGGGTTTCGCCATGTTGGCCAGTCTGGTCTCAAACTGCTGACCTCAGGTGATCTGCCCGCCTCGGCCTCCCAAAGCACTGGGATTACAGGCGTGAGCCTCTTATCAGGAAGGAAGTATACAGGGGTGTGAACACCAGAAAGTGGGAATCACCAGTGACCATCTTAGAAGTCTGCCTATCACACAACCAACTGTGAACCAAATCTGTGGGCTCCAGCGAGGCACAATCTGAACCAAATCTCAAGGGGCATACAATAGAACCATAACCCAAAATTCCCCAGGTCTTACAAGCAGGGGTAGAAATGAGGTAACATTATTATTAATGCCCAAATATAGCTGGATCATAGTCCCTATCTGCTGACACCAGACCTCCAGCCTTTCCCTCAAAGTCAACTTTGGTTATTTCTGAGAGTCCACAAGGAGTATCTCACACCGTCTCATGAATGAGCCCTCCTCAGTCTTTGGTTGCAACTTTGAAGAAATGCAACCAGGCACTGACATTATCACTGGTGCTGTCAGAAGTATTCCCAAAGATGGGAAAGGAAACCCTCAAGATGCTATATAGGACTTGTTTCCTTCAGACATCATTGCACTTCTGAAGCCATCTTCTACAAAATGAACAAACACGTGACAGAATGCTCCCGCCCTGCTCTAAGTCACAACTTGGATACCCAGATAGTACTGCTTATGTCCCAATGTTCCTGCTGTGTAAAGCCCCCTCTATTTGATTCAGATCCCCTTGCTCAAATCAGGTTGAGGAATGGATATCATATCATCTTCTTTACCTTTTCATCCCTCCCGTCTCCACTCCCAGGTGCTCAAAACTCCCTCACCACTTTCCATCCATGTTAATAACTAGAGTCAGTCTTTAGGAAAAAGCCCTGATTTGGATCACTTGCCAGTTTTCAAGGTATCAATGTTTCCAGCATGCATGATTACAAACTACAAATGTGATATCACTGAACATGGGGTTGGGAGATGTGCACAATCAGTTCTATGCAAATTGGTACAAGCTAGTTCCAGCCTATCTCCGAAGGGCCAGTGGCCCAGGAGACACAGCCACATCCTGGACTAGCTGGAACTTCACTACATGCTCTGTATTGGAATTTTGCTCCTATGTGGTAGGGCGTAGAATTAAATCACTTTACTGGTACTCCAGTCGTGACTATGGCTTTTGTACATTCCTTTCATGGAAATTGCTTTTACTGCAAAATGGCCTGAATCTCATTATCCTCAGAGAAAAGTCTGAGGTGTTCAGAAAGCTCCCAAAGTTACAGTCCCTTTAAGATTTGTACCCTAAAACTTAAAGTATAATAAAAAAAAGATTAACTTCCTGTTTCCCCAAATACTCATGAACTCAAGGCTACTTCCCAGACTTCATTGTTCCTCTTGGTTTTTTATATTTCTACTCTATATTCTTCCATGTTGGCTGAGACTGAAACACTGAGTTTCTACCAAGTTTCTTCCTTCTTGGTTTTGACTAGGACTTTATCTTATTGATAAGGGACATTACTACCCCATGTAAGTCGATCCAGTATCTTTTTTTGAGGGGCGGCTTGCCCCTCTACTCTAAATATGATCGTGGATTCAATGCCCTTTAACACACAAAGCTTATTGAGATTTGGAGAAGAGCCAGGCAGCCACATATTTCTTTCTAATTTCACAGCTCTGTGACCTTGGGTGAATTACCTAACTTCCCCAAGTCTGACAATCTCTGTATGTTTAGTGGAGATAAGATTACCTATCTCCTCAGTTTGTTACGAGGATATAAATTAGATGATGGATATAAAGTTTCAGGCATAGAGTAGGTGCTCGTCAAAAAGTATTATTTGCCAATTAAAAATAAAAATTTAAAAAGCATTAAAAATATCTCCAAATACCCTATCATTGCTTTTATTATTATTACTATTATTTCCTTTCTCTCTCTCTATCCATTTCTAAGCATGGATGAGTCTTCTATCCATGGATTCAGGGTTGGGTTGGACTGGAATTAGTTGCTCTAGCTTGGGCCGAGGGCCGGAGTGGGCACTTAATGAAGGACACCTGCAAGAGAGGAATGTTGCCCCTATATGGAGGCTCAAAACCTGGAGTCACATTTGGTTTTGTTTTTTAACACATTTTTGCACTTTTTAAAATATAAAAATATAACCTGCTCATCTTAAGAACAGAAAAATATGCAGACATATGTTTTAAAAAGCTAATAGTCCACTTTTTTCCCCTATTTCTGTTTTTGAAAGCAATGTATTTATTCTTCCATAAATCTCACATGCTTACACAAATGTAAATACACACATATAAGGCTTTCCTTGACGTTTATTTTTATAAAATAGGTTTCTAAGATACTCATTACTCTGCAACTTGTTTTTTCCCCTTAATAATCCATCATATGAATAGTATTTGCTTTTTTTGGTAGGCACTGAATAAATAGTTACTGAAATATTCATTTGTGAAATAAGACTATAAAACTCTTTTGTTGTAACAACTTTATTGAAATATTATTCACACACCATACAACTCACCCATTTAAAGCATAGAATCCAGTACTTTTTTAGTACATTCACAGAGTTGTATAATCAATACCACAATCAATTTTAGAACATTCCATTACTCCCCAAAGAAACCCAACACCCTTTAGCAACTGTCCTCCATTTCCCTCCAAACTCCTCCATTCCCCACCAGCCCTAGGCAACCACTAATCTACTTTTCATAATCTATCTTCTGTCTCTATAGATTTGCCTGTTCTGGACATTTCGTATAAATTGAATCATACCATACTGGCTTCCTTCTCTTAGCATAATGTTTTCGTTTCATCCATGTTGTAGCATGTATCACTACTTTATTCATTTTTACTGCTGAATTACATTCCATTGTGTGGATATACCTCATTCTATTTATGTATTCATCAGTTGATAGACATTTGTGTTGTTTCCAGTTTTTGGCTATTATAAATAATGCTGCTATGAACATTCATACATATCACTTGCTTTAGAACCCTCAATTTTCTGGTCATCTGTCGACCTCTTTGCCAGAACTAATTCTCCAGTCATACCAATGCCAAGTAAATCCTCTTCCATACCCTCAATGTTTCAGGAATGTCTACTCTTCAACAGAACCATGTAGATCTTAATTTAGGGATGTTCCCTGGTGATCAAGCTTTAATTAAACACTAGCTCTGCATGTTTTATGGCAGATGAGGATACCAGACACTAATTTTGAAAATAGTTTTTTTCCCCAATGGCAAAAATAAATTTTTACCTATCTGACAATTTGGTTTCATAGATGTAATAAGGAGATATCCTGAAGGAAAACATGAATAATCACTACTCTATAGTCAGTTCAAATCTCTTTCTGTGTCAAATATCCAGCTGTCTGGAACATCTGGATTTTTTAATCTCCTAAAAGTATGTCCAAGATGGTACTTTTCCCACCCCTCGACAAGCCCACTTTTACTCCTGTATTCCCTACAATGGCAGATGGCACCAGCATACAGGCTGTTGTTGCTCAAGTCACAAATCTGGTAAATGCCCTAGACTTTTCCAACAATCCATTCTGCGTATGATCAATCATCCAAGGCACATCAAGCTATCTGAAATAGCTCTTTAATTCATCCTCTTCTCTTCATTCTCATTGCCATTATGTTAATTCAAGTTATGACAATATGCCACTGTGCACTATGACCTCTTGAAACACACATTGTTGCATGTTTCAGTATTCCTTTGCCTATGGCATCCTTCCTGCTCTTGTGTGCCTGGTTAACATCAAGCCGAATTTTAAGAATCAACTCAAATGTCACCTTCTCTGGAATTCCTTTGCCTTCCTTCTCATTCAAGTTGGATGAGTTTCCCTTCTTTGCTCCTTGGCATCCTGTTCTTAGTTTTATTTTAGCACATAAAACATTCTAGTGTAGCTATTGATTTAACTGTTTATTTCTTCTTTCATTTGATCTGAAAATCTTCCTTCATTTTTTATCACAGTAGCTCACACATTATTAGGACCAAACAAATGTTTGTTTAATAAATGAATGAATAATTAATTTTGTGTATAAAGAAGAAAAATTAGAATGAGTGATCAGTTTTTCACTTACAAATATATATGAGGAACTTCCTTATTAGAGCTCAGCTACTTATTTGTAATATCAATCTTAAACTCAAAGTTGCTTATATAAATATGTAATTGTTTCCATCTTTGCTTTTCCCATTGGATTTGATAAATTTTAATGCTTAAATTCTGAATAATTGGAGGGACTCCTTGAAATGTATGTATGTGTGTAATAAGTCCATTAATAGTAATATCCAACTAAAGAACATTTTTAAATGAGCAAAGTAATAGAATAAATCCATTAAGTTTCCATTAAGTCCCTCTGTAAAAGTGAACACTATGCATTTGTTAAGGGTTCCTTAATGAAATACCATTAACCCAAATACTTCAGAAATTAATATGAAACTCTCCACACAGAATGTCTTATAGAAGTATAGGCCTTGTTATGTAGTCCCATGGTCAGAACTAATCAATTCCAGAAGTTTATTATACCGAAGAGATTAAATTTCATGCCTTGCTAAAGATTAATAGAAAAATATTATTAGAGTTGTACACATTATTTATTAATCTAATGAGATGATTGTCTCTTTGTAGCAAAAAGAACTTTAGAATTAAATTGTTATAGAAGATCTTGAACCTTTCATATAGAGGGAAAAATGATGAAGAAATAAATGAACAAGGAGAATATACTAAATAAATGTTTTTGGGGACATCCTTACCATGATTCTATAGGTGTAAGAAATAATAATTTACTTTATCTATCCTATGAAAGAGAACACTCTGCAAAATACTAATTTGTTACTTCTGTGTCAAGAGGACAAACTTCATCCTTTTCTGTACTTGAAAACTCTATTGATGTGTTGGAGAATTGTAAGAATTATAGTAAATTCATGGAAGCTCTGGAAAAAGGCTTTGGTGTCACCATCAGATCATACATTTTGAGGCATATCTGGGAGTTTAAAAAATTGAGTTGTACTAATGGAAAAAGCAGAGGGGAAAATCCTCAAACCCACTCAAGCCGGTGAGGAGACTGCAGAGAAGTGAGTAGAAAGGATTTCACAGGAAAGATTAAGGCTGCAGAGGGACAGACAAGATTACTTGGTGTCTGATGGAGCGGCTGGGTGACTACAGAGGGACTACCACTGTGGGTGTCTGCTGGGAGTTCCTAGTATGGTCAATAGGGCCAGAGGGGAAAAAAGAGTCCAGGGAACTTGTGGCCACAATTAACATGGTAAAGAAAAGAGAAGTTGTCTCTGGTGGAGGTGAAAATCCTTCAAGAACTCAACTCCAGAGAAACTTGCTATTTCCTCGGTGGAGAGACATCTTCAGACTCCTGTCCTCCAGCTATATATCTTTCATGAGAAGTCACTTTCCATTTCCCACTCACACACCACACAAAGGGTGAAATCAAGACACAACAGGAAGCCTGACTTCTTACTCATAGGTGAAATGTGGGAGGGAGTGTGGGGTGGGGGCGGGGAATGCCAGGGGAGCAGTGATCCTCTGTTGCTGAAGAAACTGTCACTAGGTATCAATATTCATCAATTTATATTGTTGTTTCTAGGCAGGAATGGGCAGCCAAGAATCACCAACAGCATGAAAGATGGGCTCCAAAGCAAATCAGCACAGCAATGAACCTACAGGATTAAGTATGAATGTATGTATATATGAAATGAAGAGGAACTGAAAGTCTGATTAATAATCTCAGGAAGTTAAAACAAATATTGCAGTCATAAGCAGAACATACAGCTTAAATAAAAAATTCTATCAGCAAACAAGATCTTGGTAATTAGAAATAACTGTAACCCTCCTTCTGGGTATAGGTTTAAAAGAACTGAAATCTGGACCTCAAAAAAATATCTGCACTCCCATGTTCATTGCAGCATAATTCGCAGTAGCCAAGATAGGGAAACAACCTAAATATCCATTGATGGATGAATGGGTAAAGAAAATGTGATATATATATATGTGTATATATATATATATACACATATATACACATATATATATATATATATATACATACACACACACACACACACACACACATACAGTGGGATACTATTTAGCCTTAAAATATAAGTAAATCCTGCCATATGTGACAACATGAATAATTATCCATTATCCTCAACATGAACATTATCCATGTTGAGGACATTATGCTAAGTGAAATAAGCCAGTCACAGAAGAACAAATACTGCATAACACCATTTATATGAAATCTCTAAAACAGTTAAACTCATAGAAGCAGAGAGTATATTAGTGGTTGTCAAAGGGTGGGGTAGAGGGAAATGGGAAGTTGTTGTTCAATAGGCATAAAGTTTCAGTTATGCAAGATGAATATGTTCTGGAGAACTGTTGTACAACCTTGTGCCTAGAGTTAACTATACTGTGCTATACAGTTAAAAATCTAAGAGGGTAGAGCTCAAGTTAAGTGCTCTTACCACCGGCAAAAAAAGGGAATGGGGAAACAAGGCAACTTTTGGAGGTGATGAATATGTCTAGTATCTTGACTGTGGTGATGGTTTCATAAGCACAGGCATATGTATATGTTCAAACTCATCAAGTTGTATACATCAAATATGTATAGTTTTAAAAGTTATATTTAAAAATATAACTAATCATTTAAAGTACTTATTAGAATTTCTCTTGACATTGGACATGACTAAAAAGAAAATGTGTAATTTAGAAGACAAAATTGTGGACTTTTCCTGGAAGAGAAAGTTTAAAAGAAAAAAAAGATGGACATTTTGAGAGGAAAAATAAGCGAAACAGAAAAAAAAAAAAGAGGCTACGCATAGCCATTTACTAGAAACGTAAGAAAGAATGATCAGAAATAATGGTGAAGAAAAATATAGTTAAAAAGAGAAGAACATTCCTCTGCCATGAAAACTTCAATCTTATTATTGACACTGAAAAGTGGGAAGGAAATAAGAAGTATCTCCCACTTTTTGATGTTTCTGCAGTGCCTTACTTTGGCTGTACTCAGTGGAAACCAGTTGGCAAGAGAGCACAGACTCTCCAGGGTCACAGAGCCAGGCTGAGAAGGGGAAGGATTTGAGAGTGAAAAAGATAAAGTAGCTTCCCTCAAAGTTATTACATTTTACAGAGGCAGTGTATTAGGATTCTGTAAGGAAAGCAGAAACCACTCTAGGTATTCAAGGAATTTAATGCAAGGATTGAGTATTACAAAACAATTAGAAAGGTGGGAGGAGCCAGAGAAGACGCACACTAGATCCCTGTCTTGTCACTAGGTTTCATGGATTGAGGATGTTGCCAGTGCTGACCAGGTCAGGAATTGCAGGAAGCTGCTGCAAAACCTCATCTGTGCTGTGATTCTGCCTGCCATCAACCAAGAAGGAATGATGGTTCTACTTTGCTCTTGCCTTCTAAATCTCATTGATTCTCATTATCAGAACCTGGAGTGGAATACAGTAGGCAAGAGACTCAGAAGAATGTAGTTTTCAGGTCCCCAGCCCCTGTGGAAAGAGCAGATTAAGGTGAGGGGGGAATGGTTCTGACTACCAACAGACAATCCAGAAAAAAGGTTGATGTGAGGTTAATAAACAAATAGATATATAATGACAAATATATTAAGTGACGTGAAGAAAAATAAAACAGAGAAGGGGCAAAAAGTGGTAGGACTGCTCTTTCAGAGAGAATGGCCAAGACCAGCTGCTCTGGGGAGATGACACTGAACAGAGACTTGAATGAAGTGAGGGTGAGAGCCATGGGGTTCACTGATGGAAGAGCATTTCCTGCAGAGGGGCCTGCCAATGGAAAGGCCTTGAGGCAGGGAGGTGCTTGGAAGTTTAGAGGAACAGCAAGGCAGCAGTGTGACTGGAGTGTAGCAAAAAAGGGAGACATGAAGTAGATGAAATTACAGAAGTAGCCATGGGCTGAATTAGTCAGTCTTGTGGGCCATGGTAAAAACTTGGGATTTTTTCTTTTCTTTTTCTTTTTTTTTTTGAGACGGAGTCTCGCTCTGTCGCCCAGGCTGGAGTGCAGCGGCGCGATCTCGGCTCACTGCAAGCTCCGCCTCCTGGGTTGACGTCATTCTCCTGCCTCAGCCTCCCGAGTAGCTGGGACTACAGGCAGCCGCCACTGCGCCCGGCTAATTTTTTTGTATTTTTAGTAGAGACGGGGTTTCACCGTGTTAGCCAGGATGGTCTTGATCTCCTGACCTCGTGATCCGCCCACCTCGGCCTCCGAAAGTGCTGGGATTACAGGCGTGAGCCACCGCGCCCGGCCTTTTTTTCTATTGATATAACGCCCTTGGAATATTTTGAGAAAGGAAATGTCTGAATTTGACATGCATTAAATTTATTTCCTTGACCTCTAGGGGTAGAAGAACTATGGGAAACAAGAGTGGAGGCAAAGACACCATTTGAAAGCCATTGTAGATCTTCAGGTGAGAAAGCTGATGGTGGTAGTGGGGAGGTGGTGAGAAAGGATTGGATTCAGGTGTCGTTTGAAACTAGAGCTGATGGGATTTTGCTGATGAACTAACTGCTTGGGGGCAAGAGAGAAGGAGAGGAGTCGAGGTTGATTTCGAGTCACTAAAAAAATGGTGGAGCCATTTACCAAGATGGGGACACTGGGGACAACAGCTGTGCAATGGAAGTCAAAGGGCAAGTTTTATGCATGTTGTTTGAGACGCCTACAAAAATATCCAAGAGGAAATGTTGAGGAGTTCCTGAGATACAGAAGTCTAGAGTTCAGAGGTGAGGCTGAGGTGGAGGTAAAGATTTGGAAACTTTTTTGGTATACAGGTGGTCTTTCAGCCATGGTGCCTAGTGAGACCCTCCAGGGCTGGTTATTATGCAAGGTAGCTACTCTTAGTAAAAATCTGCTATGTGTGTGTTACCTTCTAACTCACTTTTGAATTATTTAAAGTTGCTTCTGGTATGAAATAATAGAGCCCACTGGAAGAAAAAACTCTGAAGCTCATTCTCAATTGCTTATACAAAGAGCATTCAACGCAACAGAATATAGGTTTCCTTGTTTGCACATAATTAGTTTTCATCTAATCTTTCTCTTTCCAATAACCTAATTCTTTCATCATTTCCAGGAACGCCTTTCCTACATTTGACATTTCTAGAAGTTTGTGTGATGTCTATTGAACAATTTATCCTTTAAATATGATCATGCTATCTAATTTGTGTTTTAAAATCCCTAATCCAGTGCACCCCTTACCTTATTTCCTACAGGCTCTTTGGCCTGCAAGAGAAAGTAGATTTTTCTCTCCTCAGAGACACTTGCCAAAGCTGCATTAAGAAGAAAAGAATGAAATCTGTTTGATCTTAGAGACATGCTGTTTTGTAGATAATGAAAACAAATGAAGCATAACAGTTAATTTTGTTCTTTCTATCACAGACGGGGCCTCCTGTTAAAGAAATCTCTCAATCAAATAAATTATTTTATTTGACACTGAAGACCTAGAGAATTCAACAGCTAATGTGGTCACCCTCTCTATTTTCATTTAAAGATAGATAAGGCAGGACAACTCATATTTGCTTCCCAACCTCCATCACTCTCTGAGCTCTAGACATTTTAAATTCCAAAAACTCTGATCACCATTGCCTATTTTTAAACAATGAAAGGCTGGAAAATTATTCTTCTCTGTAGTCTACGAGATAGATATCAGCACCTGAGAAAAGCACTAGAGACCTTCATGTTTTAAATGGCTTGTCTTTCCGAGGTTCCAAGGTTGCATTTTCTTTGTTTTAAAGAAAGGTCAGTGCAAAAATGAATGAAATGCAACAAAGAGAAATACTAAGTAAATACAGCAGAAAAAAAGCCCAGAGGATTGGAGAAAAGGCAGGGGTGAGGGGTGAACTAAATATCAGTTGATGGGTTCTGAAAAAGGAATTTCACACTTACAAAAATTCTTCTAGAAATCATTATGAATCTATTTTGCAAAAGCTTAAAAACAATGGCCTTAAAGCCAAAGTTAGATCCCTTTGAAAAGTAGAATATTTTCATGAAATTATTCTCTGTAATGTTTTGAATGTCTCCCTCATGAATCCTTGCCCATTTGAATGCCCTTGTGTAGAGAGGAGAGAACCTGAGAATCAGAGAATATCTGATGCGTTCACATCAAACACAGACATTCCTCCATGTCCATGATTAGAGGCTTAGGATCATCGCTGCTGACCAATGATTTACCAGGACTCTCTGATTTTTCCCTAGAGATAATTATGCAAAATTATTTTTATTTATGCAAATCAAATTATACGGTACACAATATGCAGCAATCACTTATGTAATTTCACAATATGACATGCTTATCTTTCCATGCCAATATGTGTGGCTCTGATACCTTCTTTTTAAAGACTGAATCATATTCACTTAAATTAGTGATTCCTAATTTACGGCGGCCAGGGGCTGGGGTTGTGGGGACGGGGATTTTGCCCGCTAGGGGGCAGTTGGTAACTTCTGGAGATATTTTTGGTTGTTACAACTGGGCAGAAGGTACTGATGAGTGAGGGCCAGGGATGTTGCTCAGCATCCTACACTGCACAGGACAGCCCTCACAAACGAGTTCAGCATTGCTGAGGTTGAGAAACCCTGGAAATAGATGTGCCACAATTTACTTAACAAAATCTCTATTAGTGGACATTTGGAGTATTCTCAATTCTATCTACTACAGTAGCAGTGAATACACAAGAATCTATGTGTTTGTGTATCATTCCAAATATTACTTTAGGATAAATGCCTAGAAGAATAATTTCTTGGTAAAAGATTATACCACTGAGAGGTTATATACATTGCCAACTTGAACTATAAAAGGTTATATGAATTTATATTTTTTCCAAGAATATGTGCAGATGAAACCATATTCTTGGAAACCACTCATAACCTCCATTGGATATTATTAATTTATTTAAGCTTTGCCAAACTTTTTGATATATGGATGTCTACTTCTTTATTGTTGTTTGAAATTTATTAATTGCTAGTGAGTTTAACCGTATTTTCAAATGTTTATTGGGCTTTAGTTTTTTTCTTTTGTGAATTGTTCACATCCTTGATAATTTATCTATTGAGTTAGTTATCTTTATCATTGTGATTTGAAAGAACTTTGTCTCTTATATGTGTTAACAAATATTTTTTCCTAGTTTGCCATTTTTATTTTAGCATTTATAATTTTTGGATATGTGGAAGTGTTACATTTGAAAGAAGCAAATTTATCATTATTCAGATATTTCTCCCTAGAGTTTGTGTCATATTTAGAAGTGCTTTCTCCACCCCCAGATGATTAAAAATACACCTATGTTCTCTTCTAGTACTTTTCTAGTTCCTTTTTGGTCTGTTTGTCAGTTTTACATCTAATCATTTACATCTAGCTCAACTACCTTTAGTATAAATAATGTTAACCTACTGACTTCTAATATAGCTATCACAGCTTCACAGGAACAAGTCGAATGGAGATTCTCATTGCCAAGAATAAGTTTCTAACCTCACCATCTGTAATCCATTCTGGAACACTAGCCAAATTTCTTCATAACATCACCCACAGGCAGGAATGATGCCTAACACTTGTTAAGTGTTAAGCTTGTTAAGTTTAATAACTTATGAGATTTCACAGTATTTTTTATATTTCACATTATTTTATGTATTCATATTATTTCATTTAGTCACATTTCATATTGTTTTATTTTACCTTCACAACACACCTTAAAGCAGGTTGTATTATCCCCACTTTACGGATGAGGCACACTTTAGGCTGTCAGCTTGGCTGTACATGTCTTGAGAATGGTCACTATTTTCTCCCCTCTAGTGTGGGACACTAGATTTATTGAATAAATGCCTGGATGGCCTGAGGCTACTTTACTATGTAAAGGAGATGAGCAGATTGGTTGGATGGTTGGTACTTCTTATCTTTACTTGATTTGGCTATAACTTAATCCCAACATCAGCCTCAAGACAAATTGCCTGCAAAATACTAGCTGATTTGGTTATACTATTTATCCTTTTTGTGCATATATATGTATAAAGATATGTCAATTTATTGCTAATTTAAAATAACACCAAATTAAAATTAGCATGGGATGTGGATGTTTAAGGATCAATAAGTTAATACTTTTGAGAGATTTAGAGTCCGTCAGCTCACATGTTTGGGGGGAGCTTACACACTACAGTTATTGCTAGAACACTAAACAGGATATCTTGGTGAGAGAGAGAGAGAGAAAGAATGAAATTTGTATCCAAATAAATCATAATCATATTTTTATCTAAAAACATTTCTACTTCTGTCCAAGAAAGATAGACAATTCAATTCTTTTGCAAATGACTTGCTACAGTCCCCTGATCACAATAAAATTTAACTCCTAACTACATATTCCCAACATATGGACCACAAGCCAAATTAATTCCCGACTACTAGCCCACTGGAAGGGAAATGCCTAGATGACTTCAAAGTGCTTATAACTGCATGAAGACCAGGGCCACTTTGTACGTGGCTATGGAAACGGGCAGTAGTGTTGGTGTCCTTAAAATCAAGTCCACTCACTTGGCCAAAATGATCATGTGCCAAATTATCAAGGAACATTGTATGAGTGATATGAGGAGATCTTCAGATGCATGCCCCTTTGACTTGTGATTGAATGGTTAGGGCCAGAAGTGGATAGATTCTGACTTTTTGAGTGGTCAGCACTATCGCCATTATTTTTTGGGGAAAATTCTTCTATGAGAAAATGCTAGGAGTATGTCCAAACAGAAGCCTTTTGTATTCATAGCTAGTTGCATCCGTAACCACCAGACAAGAGGTAAAAACTGATAAAAGCTACAGCCTTGGGGATATAACTCTGTCCCTGAGGTCTCCTCAGAGCCTCAGCTTTATACAAAATTTCTATTCCACTCTCAGGCAGCTGTTCAAAGTACAAGAATCTATTTCCCTGATGGGCAAGGAATCTCAGGATAGAAAACATATTCAGAACAAGATTACAGAATTGTACTTTTTCTTCAGTAAAAAAACCATTTTTTTTTCTTGCTTCTACAGAACATCCACAGCTGAGTCCAAATACATTTCAGTCAGATGTCCTTAAGAAAACAAGGTCTTTGGGGCTGATCTCAGACACACTGCAAAGCTCTGTTTGAGACTTTCTTTCCCATTCCTGTTGTCTCAGCCTGTTGCTTCATCTTCCAGAATCCTTTAAAGTTACCTTTTCTTTGGATTTACTACGAGGTTCAGTGCCACCAGGTGGTTCTTCCCAATTCTTCATGTTAGTCAAATTCCTGGTTTGACTTTGCCACTTAAGGACTTAGCTCTGTTCCTGAATCTTGGTCTGAGTTAATCTTGATCTGAGTTAAGTCCTGGATGGCAGAAGATGGAATGAAGGGGTGGAAGGGGCAGAAGATTAAACAGAATATCAATTAGAAGCTGTGTTTGTGGTGCTTATATTTTCAAGTAAGAGAAAATCCCAACCCAAACTCCCAATAAAAAGGGGACTTACTAGTTATCATAACTTCACATTAGTAATAGATAATTTTCAAAACAATTCCACATGTATTATTTCACTTTATTATAAAATACTCCTCTTTGCAAAATTGTTTATCACCGCACTTCAACTGAAAAAGTGCAATTCCAAAGGTGTGTTGCCAAGGGTTACGTGGCCACTAGGTGGCGAGATGAGATTCAGATTGAGGCTTCGGAACTGGTGCTCTACTATACCTCGCCACTACCAGGATTGTTTTAAATGAGAGTTGGAAGTGGGAAACAAAAAGAAGAAAATGCAGAATAAGAAGGCAGTGAGGGGGGAGACTCTGGCTCATTTCAATTAAGGACAAATTGTATAGATTTATGTTTTTTTAAAAATGGGGAGAAATTACTGAGAGCAAGAATGGGGAGAGTGTGGTAGGGAGCTGGCTTCCTAGAGAAGGCTGGGGAATGGGGCTGGTGTTGGGGTGGGAGTCAGCAACTAAAGGCCAAATCCACCTCTTCATGGTCTGACCTTCCAATGATACAAACCCTGCACATACAATGCGTTCCTTATATTTTGGCTTCTATTTGCTTATGTTGAAACAGGTCTTTATGAACTTATACCATACAAAGATGTGGTCTCATGTTTGTCAAAACAATTATCCAAGGTCACACAGACCATTTGCAGATATTTCAACTCAAGAGCTCTGTCCTCACCTGTCACAGTAGGGACACTTTCATTCAGAAGGAGGGAAACCAAGTGAGAAAGGGCAGAAAGGAGTCACCTTTATATTGAATTGCTTAAAATGAGTTCAGCTAGTCTCCTGAACTTTGCCAGTGCTGCCTTCATAGCTGACAACAGCTTTCTTTTGATTTGAAGTTTTGCTTTCCTTGTAAGATCTTTAAAAACACACACACACACACCAAAAACCCTTTCCTCCAAGAGTTTTCATTAATTCAGGATGAGTTAGTCCTTATGCTTCTGTTTTTCTGCCTGTGACATGGTTTGTGGTCAGCTGCTAGATTAAATAGTGAAGGCTCACTCTGAAGATCTCAATTGGAGCCACAAAGAAGTTACTGAAAGAAAGAGAAACAGAAAGAACTGAAGAGTCGTTGTGTAATCACCCACATAAAACAACTTGGCTCTAGGTGACTGGTGTGGCGTATTTGATTAAAACCCTTTTCAAAATGACCTTTTCTCCACCCGCGTGTACTATGCATCTTTCAAAGTCTGAGCTAGGAGGCTTGATAAGAAAGGGCAAGCCTTGACAGGGCTTCTGGGGTGTGATTCACTTGATAAACTTGCAGACCCTGGTGCAGGGCTTGGAGGTGAAAGTGGGAAAGATAAAGCAGAAAATGCAGAATAGTTAGGTAGTGAGGGAGGAGACCTCCCTCTTCAGGGCTGACTGCGCTGACCTTTGGGAGCACTCTCTTTTTTGACTTCCTTCCAGTTGCGTGTGTGTATGCGTGCATGGGGAAGTGTAGAGGACATCTTCTTAATCTCTACCTTGTGCTCAGATGATACAAGCTAGTAATTCAGGGGCATCGCACATACACACAAACTGTAACTCAAGCTTGAAAGGAATCAACTCAAGACAGAAACAATATTTCAGAGATCCTAGCATATACATTCACTTGAATACACATGTATTCTCCCATCCTCATATTTCCATGTAGACCTTAGCATAGACATCTTTACTCATTTTTTAATGTATTTGCAATGTGGGTTTGACAGAGATGAGTATTTCAAAAGTATTACCTGGGATGTAGTTTTATATACTTGTCTCACTGAAATATAGAAATCTAATCAGTAGAAAAACTATACAAGGATGATAGGCCCCTATATACTATGATTTAAGGGGCTTTTAGAAAAAGATTTCCAGATTTTTTTTGAAATTACATCCAGTCAGAAGACTATAGCATTTTTTCTGTTAGTGGTTGCCAGCTTAGTTTCCACATTTTAAAATGAGGCTACTGAGAACTACAGTGACTGAAAAGCTTTCATTGCAGCAAAAACATATTAATATGATCCCGTATCTGTGCCTAACGCTGGGACTTGTATTGCTGTAGCAAACTGGTTTTGTCATTTAGAGTCATTTTTTCAAATTTCACAAGGAGAAGATTATCACATACAGGTACTAAACGATAAAAAAAAAAAAAGCTCTGCCCTTTGGCTTCTTTAAGTGGAGCTTTTTATTTATTTATTTTTATTTTTTGAGATGGAATTGCCCTCTTGTTGCCCAGGCTGGAGTGCAGTGGCATGATGTTGTCTCACTGCAACCTCCGCCTCTGAGGTTCAAGTGATTCTCCTGCCTCAGCCTCCCAAGAGGCTGGGATTACAGGTGCTTGCCACCACACCTGGCTAATTTTTGCATTTTTAGTAGAGACAGGGTTTCTCCATGTGAGCCAGGCTGGTCTCGAACTCCTGACCTCAGGTGACCCACCCCACCTTGGCCTCCCAAAGTGCTGGGATTACAGGCGTAAGCCACCATGCCCGGCCTAAGTGGAGCTTTTTAGGTTGTGATTCCTTTCCAATTAATTTCTATAAAAGGCCTTTTGAGACCCAGAGCAGAGGTGGAAGAGAAGAGGTCTCACTGAGAGGTCCCATGGGGCACAGATCAGGACCACATCTCATCTTTTATGTCTGCAGTCTCCAGGATGACCCAGTTCTTGGAAGACTTCATTTGGCGCTCTATTATTTAAGGAAGGGAGGGCACTACCATGGGAAGATTCTTATGTTTTCTCCTATTTTTGTGTGTTTCATTTTGTTTCTCAGCTACCATTTTGATTTCTCTAAGTACTGATCGCTAGTCTTCCCTTCTTCCACCTTCTGGGTTCCCCATCCCCAGCTTCTATAATAGTGTATCACAATAATGCTTCATACCAAACCACCCCAAAAGTCAATACCTTTAAGCAACAGTCATTTGTTCTAGTGCTCACAATTCTGTGGTTTGGGTGCAACTAGACTGGGCTAGGCTGGTATCCAGGCTCCAGGTTCCAGGCTTTAGGTTCCAGATCTCAAGATCTAGGCTCTAGGTTGAATCCAGTTTTGTTTGACATGTGTCGTATCTTCCCTGGACCAGTGGCTACCCAGAGCATGGGTGAACCCCACATGTCCCATTCAGATACCCAGGATCAAGAAACAGTAACTGTGTGGGGCATATCCTTCTTGTGGCAATGCACCAGACTGCAAAAGGACAAACTCAATAGAGCAAACACATTTCAAGCCTCTGGTTGTATTATAGCCACTAACATCCAATTGTCCAAAACAAGTCACATGGCCAAACCCAATGTCAAGAGGTCAGGGAAGTAAGAGTGTGAGTATATAATGCTACTTCAGTTGAGTGAGAAACTAGGGACAAATAATTCAATTTTCCACAAATAGGAAGTATCACAATGTTCTGAAATTGTTTAACTTTATCTACTCAAACTGGACTGATCAGCTTGAGAATAGAGCCCAATTCTTGCCCACCTCCGAATTTACACACCTAGCATAAGACTTGCATTTATATGAAGCACTAGATAAATTATTCCAGAAATAGAGTACTCAATATATTATTCTAGAACCATAAAAAGAATATGGAAATAATTTTCTCAAAGCCCCTTTTGAAAGGAGGGAAAGAGAGAACAGCAAGGATAGCTATCCCTTTTTGTTGGTGACTGCTGCAGTTTCTTCCCCTCCTGCTTATTCATCTTTATTCTTTTCAGCAAGAATTAAGATTTCCAGATTTTGAAGCTATTGGCTCATCTTGCAGGAGGCCATCATGGCAGGCAAAATCTTTACTCTGACTTTCATCTCCCTATATTTCTCGACACTTGTGTGGATGCTTGCTGTTTTTGTTTACATAATCAGAACAGCAATGTTCCCCAGGAAAACTTTTTTTTTTTTTGCTTTTCTATGAAACTTCTTGAAATTAGATGGGCCCCTAAAAAAAAGATGTGATTGTCTTGAGGCTTTTTGTTTCCCCATAAAACTGACATGAAATAGAAATTGTAGCTTTCTATTTTCCTCTGTGATCCTGGGCATCAAAACATTTTAAGTCTAATGCTAAAATAACAACCAGATATCCCCCTTGATATTATGTGTATTAGGGGTTTTCAACATTACAGGAGACCTGGAGAATGCCAGTCTTTATTAATTGAATAAAAGTAACAGTCATTTATGCAGCACCTACTTTTGCCTTCTATAAAGAATTCAAAGACCAACTAATCACATTTATCCCCCAATGGCTATCTTTGGAAGGAAACCCGTTGGAGTCCCACATATCCCCTGGCCATTCAAGATTGTTGTATCGGCCGGGCACAGTGGCTCATGCCTGTAATCCCAGCACTTTGGGAGGCCGAGGCGGGCAGATCACGAGGTCAGGAGATCGAGACCATCCTGGCTAACACGGTGAAACCCCGTCTCTACTAAAAATACAAAAAATTAGCCGGGCGTGGTGGTGGGAGCCTGTAGTCCCAGCTACTCGGGAGGCTGAGGCAGGAGAATGGTGTGAACCCGGGAGGCGGAGCTTGCAGCGAGCAGAGATCACGCCACTGCAATCCAGCCTGGGTGACACTGGGTGACAGAGCGAGACTCCGTCTCAAAAAAATAAAAAAATTAAAAAAAAAGATTGTTGTATCCCCTGTGGTAGGTAGAGAACAATTGGCCTTCAAAGATATTCATGTCCAGATCATCAGAACTTGTGCATATGGTGCCTTATATGAAAAATAGGACTTTGTAGACATTATTAAGTTAATGATTTTAAGATGGGGAGATTATCTTGGATTATCTGGATAGGCCCAATGCAGTCACAAGGATCCTTATAATAGGAAGGCAGGAAGGTCAGAATCAGAGAAAGAGATAGAGCTTTAAAAATGAAAGAAGGGCCATGAGCAAAGGAATCTAGGTGGCTTGCAGAAGCTGGGAAAGTCAAGGAAACCGATTGTCCCCTAAAGTTTCCAGAAGGAATGCAGCCCTACTAACACATTTTAAACTGCTGCTCTCAAAAAATTATAAGATGATAAATCTATGTTGTTTTAAGCCACTAAGTTTGTAGTCATTGGAAACAAATACAACTCTCAAAGGCTTTCTACTGCAAATACTGGACTCTCTGTCTATGGAAGCAGACTTGTTCATGCACTGGACAGGCCATGTGTGCCAAGCAATTAAGCCTCAAGGAACACCCTCAGCCAATGACTAACATGAGGAATATGCTAATTTCTGTGCCCCTCAGGTTCAGAGACATGTTCTAGATCATCGCCAGAGGTCTCAAGCTGGAGTGATATCCAGCTGCTCATAGCAGCAATCTATCCAGTGATCTCCCCTTTCCCTTTCCTGTTTTCCTTCTCCTCTCCCCTACCAGTGCTTCTAGAGGTTGCCTCCCCAATATCTTACTTGTCTCAGGGTTCATTTGTTGGAGAACGCAGCCAAAGACAACTACTTGAAAGCCCAGATGAATGTGTGTTGAAGGCCCTCTCTGGTAGAGATTGGGGGTGGGGGTCATAAAAATCTTTATAGTATCTTTAAGGGAAGACAGAGAAAGTTTTTATCCATAAAAATTGTGATAAATAGGAAGCTGTAAAATGACAGTGGAAGATTAATTGGAGCTCTAGAAAAGGAAATAACTAACTTATTTAAAAATTTGCTCATTTGGCCGGGCAGGGTGGCTCATGCCTGTAATCCCAGCACTTTGGGAGACCAAGGCAGGTGGATCACTTGAGGTCAGGAGTTCAAGACCAGCCTGGCTAACATGGTGAAACCCCATCTCTACTAAAAATACAAAAATTAGTCGGGCATGGTATTGTGTGCCTGTAGTCCTAGCCACTCAGGAGGCTGAGGCAAGAGAATCGCTTGAATGCGAGAGGCGGAGGTTGCAGTGAGCCAAGATCATGCCACTGCATTCCAGCCTGGGTGACAGAATGAGAATCCATCTCAAAAAAAGAAATTGTTCGTTAATTTGATGACACTTATCCCATAAGATTATTTATGGACCTTTAAAATCAGAGATACAATGTGTGGGTATTGTTTTCTTCATAGATCAACAGGTGAACAAAAGATAATTTCAACCTAAATAAATATGCAAAATAAATGTAATGTTCTGATTTTTGTGAAAATCAAGTAAAATGGAAAGGTTTATGTGCACGTCCTGACATCAGCTTGTTAATATTAATAATAGCTTAGAGTTTTTAGCCATTCACTGTTGCCTCCCATCTTTTATCTCAGGCAATACAAATGCTACATTCAAAAGTGCAATTCCTGTTGTGTGGGTCATTTAACATCCATGACAAGGGAGTCCTAATGCTGTAGAGCAAGGGATGCAGAGTGTTTCAGCATCATTTGGATAAAGCAACTAGCAACTTTAACCACCATTCTTTCAACTACTTCATCTTATCAGCAAACCAACTGGCAACAAGAGTATGTTTTTTTTTCTCTTAGCAGTAGAATTGCTATTTTTGTAAGAGAGTTCTCATATATTTTCTTCTTATTCCAGAATGAAGCTCATTGCTTATTTCAGGATTAGAATACTTCAGCTGCAAAATGTGAGTAGTTTGATATTTAAATATTAAATGACCAAAACCTTTTACTTTTGAAGCTTAAGAAAGTAACACTTGTATTGTTCCACTTGGCATCCCATCTAGACCTATCTCTTGTGTGTATGAATGGTCTGGGGTATATTAAGTAGATATTTTCTACTAATGAAATTAGAATTGCAATAAAAATATTATGATGATGATGATGTCATTTTATTGAGCACTTATTTTTTTTAAATGAGGTTAATCAGTCTCTGTGCTCCACATACTCCATCATTAAAATAAGACTACTTTCTTTTACTCATTCATTCATTTATTATTTCAATAGGTTTAGGAGTACACGTGGTTTTTGGTTACATTAATAAATTGTATAGTGGTGAAGTCTGGACTTTTAGTGTACTTGTCACCCAAATAGTGTACATTGTACCCAATAGTTAATTTTACCTCCCTCATCCCCTTCCCACTCACCCACTTTCTGAGCCTCCAGTGTCCACTATGCTACTCTATATGCCCCTCTGTATCCACAGCTTAGCTCCTACTTGTATGTGAGAACACGCAGTATTAGGTTTTCTGTTCCTTAGTTACTTTGCTTAGGATAATGGCCTCCGGTTCTATCCAAGTTGCTGCAAAAGACACTACTTTGTTCTTTTTTATGGCCGAGTGATATATATATATATATATATATATATATATATATATATATATATATATATATATCCCACATTTTCTTTATCCACTCAGCAGTTGATGGGCACTTAGGTTGATTCTGTATCTTTGCAATTATGAATTATGTAGCAATAAACATATGAGTGCAGGTATCTTTTTTACATAATGACTTATTTTCCACTGGTTGGATACCCAGTAGTGGGATTGCTGGATCAAATTGTAAATCTACTTTTAGTTCCTTGAAAAATCTTCATACTGTTTTCCATGGAGATTGTACTAAATGACATTCCCACCAACAGTGTATAAGCGTTTCTTTTCACCACATCCACACCAACATCTATCATTTTGTGACTTTTTAACAATGGCCATTCTGACTGGGATAAGGTGGTATCTCACTGTGTGTGTGTGTGTGTGTGTGTGTGTGTGTGTGTGTGTGTTTAATTTTTTAATTTCCATAGGTTATGGGGGAACAGGTGGTGTCTGGTCACATGAGTAAGTTCTTCAGTGGTGATTTGTGAGATTTTGGTGCACCCATCACCCAAGCAGTGTAGTACACTGCACCCTATTTGTAGTCTTTTATCCCTCGCTTCCTTCCCACCCTTTCCCCCCTGAGTCTCCAAAGTCCACTGTGTCATTCTTATGCCTTTGCATACTCATAGGTTAGCTCCTACTTGTGAGTGAGAACATAAGATGTTTGCTTGTCCATTCCTGAGTTACTTCACTTAGAATAACAGTCTACAATGTCATCCAGGTCACTGCAAATGCCATTAATTCATTCCTTTTTATGGCTGAATAGTATTCCATCATATATATGTATGTATGTATGTATATATACATATATATATATGTATATATATACACACACACACACACACATCACAGTTTCTTTATCCACTTGTTGATTGATGGGCGTTTGGGTTGGTTCCATGTTTTTGCAATTGTGAATTGTGCTGCTATAAACATGCGTGTGCAAGTATCTTTTTGATATAATGACTTCTTTTCTTCTGGGTAGATACCCAGTAGTGGGACTGCTGGATCAAATGGTAGATCTTCTTTTAGTTCTTTAAGGAATCTCTACACTGTTTTCCATAGTAGTTGTACTAGTTTACATTTTCACCAGCAGTGTAGAAGTGTTCTCTGTTCACTGCATCCATGCCAACATCTACTGTTTTTTGAATTTTTTTTTTTTTTTTAGATGGAGTCTTGCTCTGTTGCCCAGGCTGGAGTGAGGTGGTGAGATCTTGGCTCACTGGAAGCTCCACCTCCTAGGTTCACGCCATTCTCCTGCCTCAGCCTGCCGAGTAGCTGGGACTACAGGCGCCCGCTACCATGCCCGACTAATTTTTTGTATTTTTAGTAGAGATGGGGTTTTATCATATTAGCCAGGATGGTCCCGATCTCCTGACCTTGTAATCCACCCGCCTTGGTCTCCCAAAGTGCTGGGATTACAGGCGTGAGCCACTGCGCCTGGCCTGTTTTTTTGTTTTTTTATGATGGTCATTCTTGCAGGAGTAAGATGGTATTGCATTGTGGTTTTGATTTGCATTTCCCTGATCATCAGTGATGTTGAGCATTTTTTCATATGTTTGTTGGCCATTTGTGTATCTTCTTTTGAAAATTGTCTATTTATGTCCTTAGCCCACTTTTGAAGTTACTATGGCTAGAGTCATGGTGGAGGAAATGCAGTTCTGTACCAGTTCAACTACCCATAATATTTTTAATATTTTAATATTTTTTACCTCATGTTTTTTCCATAGGTTATTTCATGCAAACTTAATACAACCTGTTATCCCACATTTATATCTCTAGCTCAGACCTTTCTGCTAAGATCCAAATTCATGTTGCCATCTGCCATCTGTCATCTCAATGACAGAAGTATAAGAAACCTCATATTTCAATTTTTTTAGATGGGGTCTCACTGTGTTGCCCAGGCTGGCCTCAAACTCCTAGGCTCCACCTCCTGAGTAGCTGGGGCTACAGGTTTGCCCCACAGTGCCCAACTAGAAATTTGCATTTCTGAAATGGAATATTGATCTTTCTTGCCACCCCTTACCATTCTGCAACTCCTCCAATATTGTGAGCCTAAAGCTATGGCATTGCTATTTGTTTAGTTCTCATCCCACAAACTTGAGATTCATTCTTGGTATCTCCTTCCTTCCTACCCTCTTACACTCAATTGATCATCATGTTTTGTTGATTCTACTTTTTGAATCCACCTCTTTCTCTCCATCTCTGTCTTAAGCATCCTGATTCATGTACCCATCAATTCTTGCAACGGCTTGAGCCATTGCAGTACTCTTCTTCACTAGTTGTCCCAGGGTCACTCTTATCCCAAGTCTGTCTTTAATTTGTTAAATTACTACGAACTACTTAATAGAGAAGAAGTTAACATACACTTATGTAACTCCAAAAACTATCACTTACCACTTTTTTACAGAGATAAACATTAGGTTTTTTATAGATTTTACAGAGATGAGTATTTTCCATTTCTTTCTTCAGACCTCTTTTAAAAGAAGGAAACAGTACAAATAGAACTCAATCTCTTTCCCCTCCTCCCATCCTTTTTTCCTCCCTCTTTTCCCTGAAGGTGGTATATATCATTCCTATAAATGCTTATTTGCTTTTGCCTCCATGTATAGATCCTTAATATAATATATTGCTTTGTATGTTTTAAAATGTACACAAACTGTAGTTTGTCCATACAATGGATACTTTGTTGCAGTTAAAGCAAATAAACTAGATCTGTATTTATTGACAGATTTCAAAAACATAATATTACGGTTAAAATATGTTGAAAAAGAATCTTTATAGTCTTTTCTCCTTCCTGTATAAAAGCACAAAGATTGAGTGGCCTTTTAAAACTAGGAACCTGGCCATGCTTTAATATTAGGAAACTGTCTTCTTGTTGCTCTTAGGAAAAAATTCAAAATCCTTGGTATGACCTGCATAGACCCTCCCTACCTGGCTGCTACCTTGCTTTTCAGCCTTTGTATATGTATCCACTCTACTCCTCAATCATTAGGCTTCATCTATTCTGTGGGTTCTCCAGGATTCTTACTGCCTTTTCTCCCCAGTTGTAGGAATTGGCCAGTCCCCCAAACCTAGACAATTCCTACAATTCCTTAATACTTAACTCTAATTTCCTTTCCTTGCAGAGTCTGCTTCTGACTTGACTTGCAGGTCCCCCCACCTCTACGTCTTAATGAAGCCTTCCTTCTAGATAGGCCTTCAGCAGCATTGTTCAATAGAAGTTTCTGTGATTATGGAAAAGTTTTATATATACATATATATCCTGATCTAATATACCATGGATATATCACTATATGATATACCACATGTGACTAATGAGCACTTGAAATGTGGCTAGTGAGACTGTAGAACTGAATTTTTAATTTTAATGGATTTAAATTTAAATAGTCATATATGGCCAGTGGCTACATATTAGACTGTGCAGCTCTAGGGTGCATACTTTTCCTTCAAATCACTTCTTACCAGGTACTTATATATTTACCTATGTGAGTGGTAGTTTAATGTCTGTCTTCTGAGACTCTGGGCTCTGTGATGGAAGGACCCTCTCTGCCATGTTCATCAGCAGCATTTAGCAGAATGCCTGACACATAAGACACACTCAATAACTGCTCATTGAATAAATGAATGAATTGCTTTGTATTTTTCTCTAAGGAGTTTTCTTTATCTACTAGATAAGAAAATCCCTTTCAGAATTGTGAGTCAGGAGACTGACAAGATAAATTTTGCATTTTAGAAAAAGGATGCTGACAGCCAAGGAAGGATGGATACAAGTGGCTGAGAGAAAGGGAGATCAAAAGTTTAGTGCATTCATCTTAGCAATAAACAGTGCTAGCATAAATTATAAGAAAGTTGTTAGTGATGCAGCGTGTATTTAGGAGGTTGGGTATTAATGAAATAGGAAGCATATGGGAGAGAAAGAGTGTCTCAGTTTATCCCCTAAACCCCAAAGCAGACAAAGGCTTGGGTGCTGGTGGTTATCTGGGAGGTGGCCCCAGAAAGTACAAGCAAGGAAGGTGGGGATATGAGACTGGGAAGAAAGAAAAGCCAATAAAGAGTGAACTAATGGTCAGGTTACTGCTGGGGGCAATTGGGACTCAATACCATTGGGACCTTCTGAGGAACTGTGTGGTACACACTTCATAATTGTTCTGTAAGAGGATGAGAAGGCAGGGCCATTTATTCACTGGCTCTCTTCTTTTGTAGAGGGGTTCCCCCTGAGACCATTGGCTCCTGTGGGCATCAGTGTTAGGCATCTGTGGCTAAGCAAGCACCTGTACTGTCCGAAAAAGTGCTCAGAGAACTGAGATGCAGGTGCTTAAGGAAGGAGGTTGCCAGCCAGCCAGGAATCATCTTCCTCAGCTGCAGCACTGAGTGATATAGAGCATGACATCAACTGCATTGATTCCAAAATGATTCTAAAACCAATCCCAGGTTTCTGACCTGGGCAGCTGAATGAAATTGCGCATTATTCCTGAGAAGTGGGAGATGTTAAAGAAGGTGGGGAAAACTTAAGAGCAAATACCACTATAACCTAGTTCTTTCACATTTTCACCAATGTTTCCTCTGCTACACTATGGACATGGCAGGTCCACATGAGCAATGCACCATCATTCCAGAACACAGCCTCCCTCTAAGCATCTGTGGCCCCATCACCCAAACTCTCCCTATGGCAAGTAAGATCAGGATGAATTAATATTGGATATTCTAACATCATCTTTCCTAACATCCAACACACTTGTACTTAAATAGAATAGTGTGGTACACAGAATTCTAAAATGGCTGCAAGATTCCTGTCCTCTCAGTGTACATGTCCTGTGTAATTTCCTCCCTCTTGATTGTAGGCAGGACCTGGAATATGGTGAAATATCACTCCCATGATTAGCTTACATTATATGGTAAAGGTAAAGAGATGTTGCAAATGTAAATACGATGAGGTCACTGCTCAGTTAACTTTGAGTTAATTAAAAGAGAGATGATCTTGGGTGGGCCTGAACAAATTAGTTGAGCCCTTTAAAAGAGGGTCTAGAGCAGCAGTCCCCTACCTTTTTGGCACCAGGGATCAATTTCATGGAAGACAATTTTTTTCCACAGACGGGGGGTGGGGGCATTTTTGGGATGAAACTGTTCCACCTCAGATCATCAGGCATTAGTTAGAGTCTCATATGGAGCATGCAACCTAGATCCCTCGCAGGCACAGTTCACAAGAGGGTTCTCATTCCTATGATAATCTAATGCCATCACTGATCTGACAGGAAGCGGAGCTCAGGTGGTAATGCTCACTTGCCTGCCACCCACCTCCTTCTGTGTGGCTCAGTTCCTAACAGGCCACAGATTAGTACTTGTCCATGGCCTGAGGTTGGGGACCCCTGGTCTAGAGGTCAGAGAGTTTCTCCTGCTGGCCTTGTAGAAGTATGCTGCCATATTGTGAGAAGGCCCACAAAGAGGGACGTGTAGCAAGGACTTGAGGGCAACTTTGAGAAGCTAAGAGTGGTCCCTGATAGCCAGCAAGAAAATGGAGACCTCAAGACCTCAATCCTGCAACCACAAGGAAATGAGCCTTTCCTGAAGGAGCTTGGAAATGGATTATTTCCTATTTGAACCTCCAAATAGAAATGTAGTATGGCTAACACCAGGCTGATTGCAACCTTTTAAGACCCCAAAGAGAGGACCCATGTAGGCCATGCCTGGACTCCTGACCCATGGAAAATGTGGGATAGTAAATGTATGTTATTTCATGCTGCTAGGATTCTTGTAATTTGTTATATAACAATATAAACTAATATAGGTAGTGATTAAAAGAAGGAGTTCTGGAATCTGATTCACCTTGCTTTTCATGTACCTTGGGCCTATAGCTGAGAATTTGTGTGTCTCAGTTTCCTTATCTGTAAAATGGGAATAAAAATACAACTTATACAATTTTTAAGTATTAAGTTCAGTTTCTGCCATTAAGCCAGCACTCAACTAACTCAGCTATTATTATGATATTATTACGATATTATCATCATCATCAACAGCAACAAAAATTAGATTTTGAATTAAATAAAACTGAATACAATTGATTTTTTGGTAATGAACTATGATGGGCTAACCCACTCAGAATAGAACAATTTTATGAAAATTAATTAGGCATCTACTATGTTCTTGGGAGAAGAAGATGAATAAAGCTAAGTCCTTGCATATAAATAGCACATGCACTTAAAAACAGTGAGGATTTATGAAGAAAAATTTTAGGCAATGTAACATATATGTTGAGTTTTTTTTCAAAATTACTAAAGCATGGCATACATACATAACACTGCACAAATGCTAAGTGTACAGCTGAAAACAAATTATAACAAACTTTCATGTAACTGGCACCCAGATAAAGAAAACAGAATATTACCAGCATCCAGCAGCCCCACCTTGTTCCCCTTTCAACTGACTACCCAAGGTAACCCCTCTACTGACTTCTTATACCATAGACTAACTTTGTATGTTTTTGAACTTTGTATAAATGAAATCACAAAATATATTCTTTATTGTATCTGACTTCTTTTGTTTAACATTGTGTTGGTGAGATTCATCCATATTGTTGCACATAGTTGTAGATCATTTATTCTTTTCTATATAGTATTCCATTGTGTGAATAGCTCACAATATCTCCATGATACTACTGATGGGCACTTGCATAGTTTCTGGTTTTTGTTGATTACAAGTAGTGTTATATGAACATGCTAAGAGACATTTTTGGTGTATATATATATACACATTTCTGCTGGGCATATGCATAGAAGTGGAATCAATTTTCAGTTTTGAAATAACAATATGACTAATCAATACCAACAGTAGCAAAGTAACTCCAGGTGTGAGTGGAAAAAATGAGACAGTCAACAGGGTGGAGGCAGCTAGGAAAGGAGTATGGGTGGTTGTGCACCCTGAACCACCACCAGAAGAATCAGTCAATGAAGGCTGAGCTGGAGTAGATTACATCTTCCAGGATGAAAAGGAGCAGAGACCACACACCAAGCTTATAGTGACAGATACATTGTTATTGACTGAAAGAACATTCTTACATTGAATGCCATTGGGACATGTGTCAGTGTGGCATTTGGGCAGACCATATACAAATAAAATGGAAAGACAAGGTATCTTTATTGGGCCAAAACATTTAAAAAAAATCATTTTCCAGTATTAGGTGTATGAGCTATGGCCGAGAAAATGCTCTCTTAACCAACACCTGTTTCATTTTTCTTCTTTCTAGGCATAAAGGAAAACTACATTTCCCAGCCTTGTAGCTGAGGCCATCTGACTGGGCTCTAGCTAATGGGATGTAGGCATAAGAATGAATATTACTTCCTGGCCTGGATATAAAACTTGCTATGTAATCTCCTACTCAGTCTCTTTCCCTCTGATGAAAGTCCATGAAATGAGTCTCTCCAACCTTCACTAGATTGTGATGACAAACCTTTGTTACAATAGAGTACTGAGATTTTAGTGTTAGTTTATTACTGCTCTATGGTTTGGCCTACCTTGACTACAATCATAAGCAATAAGAGAGGCTATTGAGAAATTTTATAACCTAGACCTGCCCAGACCTGTAACTATTCAAACTATGGCTGTACTGCCTTTAATCAGGTCTACTGATAGTCATGATAACTTGCTGAGCACCTCAGGGCCTTTCTTATCACCTATTCTCCCAACATCTCTGCAAGATAGACAGGCAACAGGAGGAAACTCAGGTTCAAAGAAGGTCTGAAATTGAGTCAAAGTCATACATCTGGTAAGTGGCGGGTTGAAATCCGATCCAGGGTTTCCCAACACCAGAACCCTCTTTCTGCTATTCCTCCTCCTGTCTTTTTAGGCTATAAAAAGGTATTTTTACTTGGGTTTTCCCAGAAGCCAATCCTGAGGCAAGGATTCCAGTGCAAGTAGTTTACTTTGGGGGTGATCCAAGGAAACACCTGTAGAGAAGTAAAAAGAAAGAGAAGGCAACTAATAAAGAGTGTTTTGCCAAGGCAGTTAGCACCAGAGAAAACTGGGTCTCACTTGGAGAGGGAAACTCTAAGTAAGTGTAGAACATATTTTTCAGTGTTATCCATCCTGAGAGGTGAGAAAGCTAGGGTATCTATATAGCAGTGTTCCTCAAACTTTAGCTTGTATCAGAATCACCAGAAAGCTTGTGCAAACAGATTGCTGGGCCCTATCCACAGTGTTTATCATTCAGTAGGTCTCAGGTGGGGTTTGATAATTTGCATTTCTAACAAATTTGCTGGTGATGCTGATGCTGCTGGTCCAGGGGCCACACTTTGAGAACCACTGTTATTAATGTTTCCATGTGAAATTTCTTCCCCTGAACTTCTCAAGAAACTTATGTGCTTTTCTGAATTCTGAATCCTGAGATAAATCCATTGACAAATTGGGAAAATGGGGAATAATATTATAATTCTCCTGTAGCAATTAAAACAACTCTCAACCTACAGATCATGGTTTCAAAGGAATACACTAATGTTGAGTCAAAAGCAAGGGCAAAAGTATAAGCAAAAACTCACACATGTAGTAAAAGGTTAAGGTCAGCCTTTCTAGCAACAGAGACAGGAGTACGCAGCAGAGAAGTCGTCACAATATAGTTGGTCAGTCTTGCTTGTATCTGTTGCCATGTTAAGTGTCGTGTGTTCGTGGTTCTGTCTGTTGCTAACAGTGAGTCATTCTGGAAAATAAAATAAATATTCATAAGTTTATATCCATAACTATACCTTGTGAAGCATACTGGATGGAAGGTATGTTCAGCACCTGTAGTTGGCTTAGAGCTCCTACCCTAGGTCCCTTCACTCACCTGTGATATACCAGACTGTGAAATCAGATGTACATTAGAATAACAAGTTTTAGAAGCAAAATAAGTCACTACACTGGCAATTTCAATATGCGATTCTGGGTACTGTGGTTAGCCTTGTTAAGAGATCTGAATGTTGCATTATTCAAATAATATCCAATAATACTCATTGGCATTTCCAGTCTTTGAATGTTCACTAGAGTCCACAGTTCTTTGTAAATATTACTAAATGTAACATATATTATTCATTAAATATTTTTTAGATATCTGTAATAATAAGTAAAGAATATAAAGAACACTAAAGTATTTAAAGAGTGATTTATAATCTGGGAAATTCCCGAGAATTCCTAAATATTTCCATTTATTTTCTCAACTGTTGAAGAATTTGGAAACATTATTGTACATCAACTTCCATGCCTCATTGTTGGGAACTATGTATAGGGAGAGATAGTTATCCAACATTTTCCCCCTTGTGGAGCACATAGGCAAAGCAAGTTCTGGCTACAGAGGAAGCCAGAAGGGTTATGATGGGGCAGCTGACATAAGAGGACATTATCAAAAAGATGAAAGTTAACAAGGGTTGGGGGGCATGTGTCAAAAAAGGAACACTTGTGCACTGTTGGTGGGAATGTACATTATTAATACAGCCATTATGGAAATAGTGTGGAAGTTTCTCAGAAAACTGAAAATATAACTAATGTATGACCCAGTAATCCTACTTCTGAGTATATATCAAAGGAATTGGAATCAGTATGTCAAAGAGATTTCTGCACTCCCATGTTCACTGTAGCATTATTTACAATAGCCAACATTTGGAACCAATGTGAGTGTCCATCATCAGATGAATGGACAAAGAAAATGTGGTATATGTACACAATGGATTACTATTCAGCCTTAAGGAGAAATCCTGTCATTTATGATAATGTGGATGATATGGTTTGAATATGTGTCCCCTCCAAATCTCATGTTGAAATGTGGTCCCCAATGTTGGAGGTGGGGCCTGGTGAAAGGTGTTTGGATCATGGAGACGGATCCCTCATGAATGGCTTGGCATCGTCCCCTTGGTGATAAGTGAGCTCTTGTTCTGAGTTCACACATGATCTGGTTGTAAAAAGTGTGCAGCACCTGCCCTCACCCTCTCTCTCTTTCTCCTGCAACAACCATGTGAGATGCCTGCTCCCACTTCACCTTCTGCCATGAGTAAAAGCTCCCTGAGACCTCCCTAGAAGCAGAGCAGATGCTGGCATCATACTTTCTGGATAGCCTGCAGAACTCTGAGCCAATTAAACCTCTTTTCTTTATAAATTACCCAGCCTTACGTATTTCTTTATAGCAATGCAAGAATGGCCTAACATAGTGGATGATCCTGGAGGACATACGTTAAGTGAAATAAAGTAGGCACAGAATGACAAATACTGAATGATCTCATTTATATGTGGAAACTAAAAAAGTTGAACTCATTGAAGTAGAGAGTAGAATGATAGTTACTAGAGTCTGGGGGAGGGGGATGATTGGGGAAAGGGTAGATGTTGATCAAAGGGTACAAAATTTCAGTTAAACAGAAGGGATAAGCTTTAATCTATTGCAAAGAACTGTAGTATTAATATATTAAAAAATGGTGACTATAATAAATAATAATAATGCATTATATATTTCAAAATTGCTAAGAGTAGATTTTAAATTTTTCACCACAAAAAATAAGTATGTAAAGTGACAGATTTGTTGATTAGCCCTGATTTAATCATTCCACATGGTAAACATATATCAAAATATCATATTATATCCCATAAATGTAAACATTTATCATTTGTCAATTCAAAATAAAACAAATAAGAGAAGATGCAAGTATTGGTGGAGGGGTTGGACTGAATTACTCCTTAAAAATAGCTTTATTGAGGTATAATTTATATACCATAAAATTCAGCCATTTAAATTGTACAATTCTATGATTTTTTAGTAAATTTATTATAGAGTTGTGAGACTATCATCACAATTCAGTTTTAGAACATTTTCATCACCACCCAAATATTTTTATGCCCATTTTCAGTCAACTCCAGCTACCCAGGGCAAGTGCCAAGCAACCATTAATCTGCTTCAATTACACTTTTAAGGGATTTGCTGACCCCAAGATTCTATGAAACTAGAATTCTGAGACTTGGGCACAGATACACCTTGGGCCCAAAATGTAAGCTCACTCCAGGAAATTCCAAAGGCGTTTTTTTTTTTTTTTTTTTTTTTCTGAGAACACACGCCTTCCTTGTACTTGCCATTTTGACACTTAGCAGCTTTCCTCATTAGCGCACTTTTCACACTGAGCAGCTTTGCAGACACCTGTTGATTATTTTGCTGTTAACGGAGACTCTGGTATCCTAGAAATACTGAGGGTGAAAAGTCTGTGTCACATATTATAAATATCAGCTTCTTTGCTAATGTAGGCACTTTGCTTCCAGATAATTCATTATGGATGAAATCAACAGAACACAAGGTTTTGAAAACTTTGAAGTACCAGATATTTTCTTCTGGGCTTTCCGTAGAATGTTATCTTGTCCTGACTTCATAGAGGAAATGCATTTAAACCTTGTTCTCTCCATCTCAGTGGAAAAAAAATTGATGTTGCAATTAGAGATACCTGAGAGTTTTGCTACCTATCCCTGAGAATGTGCATTCGTGTTGGAAACTGAGGTAACCTTTCTGGGACTGGGGAGATTCTGTTATTCTGTTCTTCAGCTCCTCTAAAAGCCCAGGAAGCCAGTTTTGTTCCAATAGGTAACTTTACAATTGGGGTCAGATCCTTGATCAAATCTACGTTATCAAATAAATATGACTAAGAAAGTGCCATCAAAATTAAGAAACAAATGTAAATTTCTAGGATAACATAAAATAGCAAATTCATTTCCGCATCCTATAAAATGGATACATATTTTCCCCTAGCCTGTTTTCTCCTCTGTAAAAATAGGCCTAATCATAGCACACTCTGAAGTATAAGAGTTAAATGTATTAGAGAATAAGAAAATAGAATGCGTATAACATTTAAGATACATGTAGTACATTTTATTTTTCTTCTATTGTTTATATTGATTAAATGAGAAGTTCCACTTTGCTAATCTAGACAAACCATAAACAAAATTTACAGGTTCTGTTGCATTTCTATGACAATAAAGACAAAGTATAAATGAAAAAAATAGATTTATTTGACTTCACAAAGTAAAACAAAGCATAAAAAAACCTTTGTCAAAAAACACCAAAAAACATAATTTTAAAAGCATTTAATCAATTAAGAAACAAATTTGCAATATGTATAATAGATGAATTAATAGTATTAATTAAAAAATTAGCTGGGTGTGCTGGTACACACCTGTAGTCCAAGCTACCCAGGAGGCTGAGGCAGGAGAATTGCTTGAGCCCAGGAGGTTGAGGCTACAGTGAGCCACGATTGCACACTGAACTCCAGCCTGGACAACAGAGCAAGACAGCAAGACCCTGTCTCAAAAAAATAGTGAATAGTATTAATGTATAAAGTACACAAAAATTTCAATGAAAACAAACGAATAAGAAATTCACTGAAATGATGTACCTACAAATATATTTTTAAAGTTTACCCTTGCTAAATTTTTAAAAATGCAAACTGCTTTTATAGCAAGATACTATTTTTCACCCACCAAATTAGGAAGGATTGAAAGGGTCAGTAATTCTCAGTGATGAGGACAATGTGGAAAAACACACTCTAATACACTGCTTTGTGGTATTGAGAATTAATGCAATCTTTATGTGTGGGAAACTTGTTAAACGTATTTATGTCCATTGACCTAACAATTCAATTTCTAAAACTGTTTCCTAGGGAAACAATTAGTAATATGCTCAAATATTTACCCATATAATGCTAAAGGTGGACTATGTGGGGTTTTTAGTTTTATCTAAAAATTTAAAATACCCTAGATACCCAAAAGGAAGAATTAAGTGTTATGTGTATTCACCAGAATCTTATGCAGCTAATAAAAATTATAAGAGAATCATTAATGACATAGTGTGGGTTTTTTATTAAAAAAAGCCTTTTTAGAGAAATATGATGAAACCTGACAGTAGAGTTTGAATATTTCCCTATAATAAATAGGACTTAAAAATTAACACGAGGATGTAACCTGAGTTGAGCTTCTTTCTTTATAAAAGGATGCATAATTGATCTGAAATATTTTAATATCTTTGACTATCTTTGACAAACTATGAAAACATCATAGTTTGTAGAGGAGAGATCATGAGTTCTGTCTTTGCTAATAACTTTATCATTTGTGCCTAGCATGATGCCTGCCATATAGTAGGTGATGAGTATTTGTAGGATGATTTAAGTAGAAATTTCCTAGGTTAGACTATTCTTCTTTTCTTTGCTTTTCAAGTGTAGCTAAGTGGTCTGATGAGTGTTGGGGACTGTTAGTGTTGAATTCATCCTTAGGGCTGTTTTGGCACAGGCCGACAGCATTACATCTTTCAATCTATCCCTCAGATACTCCCCCACCTCGTATCACAGCCACATGTCATGATATGAACCCTACAAATGTTGACTCAGTGTACAAAATAGTTAACTATGGTATCTTCTTTAATCAATGGGGGGAAAATGGCCTCAGTTGCCCTTTTATACTTCCTATACCTCCTGCTTTAATCTTACAATTTTTTTCAGACTGTCCTTTTGGTCTTTCTGGATGGTTCCTTCAGTTATCACATGAATACACTGGGCTCTAGCCATTTCCTCCTCCTCATATTTTCTTTCTCTATTCTCTGAGCTGAACTTTTTTAATACCCAGCACTACAAAAGAAACTATATGAATCCTTAGAAATGAATAAAATTAATGTTCCTTTGGGAAGGAAGAGGATTAATATAGAGGAAGTCCCACCCAAAGTGAAGAGGAACATGTGGCCCACTTCACCAGCATTGGAGAATTATGTGCAGGAGAAGAAAGGCAGACAGTCAGACACAGGTATTATGGCTCCCCTGCCCTGTGCCAAATCCAGAGTATCAGTAGTAGTGCTGGTAGTAGAAGGACTGAGGAGGGATCTAAAAACATAGGGGCTTTTTTCTTCTTCCCATTTGGGATTCTTGGGAGATATCACATCTCACAGTGTTCCTGCATCAACATGATTATAATTGAATCAATTCAATTTATATAAATAAAAACATTTTACATACATATATTTGTTATTCTTGAAATAACAAATTATTGAGATAGAGAACCGATTAGTGGTGCCAGAAGTTAAGACTGGAGGGAAGGGAACAGGTATAGCTTATAAGGGAGTAACAGAAAGGAGCCTTGTGGTGATAGAACAGTTCTGTATTTTGATTGTGGTGGTGGTTACATGAAGGTACACATGTGATCAAATTGCACAGAACTACACGCACACACACAAACTCAAATGCATGAAAAAAGTGAAATATTAATAAAGTCTATATTATATCAATGTCACTTTCCTGCTTTTGATGTCCTATGGTTTTGCCAGATGTTACTATTGGGAGAAGCTGAGTGAGGGTACATGGGACCTACCTGTATATTTTTGGCAATTTCCTGTGAACTTATAAATTCAAAACAAAAATTTAAAGCAAAATATTTCTGTATGAGTAAGATATGATTAATTAGTAGGATTAAGTTTCTCTCCATTATTCATTCAGGTGAGAGATCAAGAGGAAGATTAGATTAATTATAAGAAGTAAAAAGATACATTTCTCTAGGGACACCTATGTGTATTTATAAATCTGTGACTATATATGAAGGTGAGTTTATTCCTTTGTTTGACATAAGTGAAAACATATGTTACAAGCTATTTTACATCCATTTGGCTTTTTTTCACCTTTAGCAATGTGTCTTGCATTTGTTGTCTATCAATACATATAGGTCCACCTTATCCCATTCCTTTAAATGGCTGGTTTGTATTCATTCCTTGGATATGCCAGGCTATACATTAATTATGTAACCATTTCCTCACTGATGAGCTTTGAAAATCAAGCTGCAGTGAAAATCCTCCTACATTTGTCTTTGCAAGCATGTATCTGTAAAAAAAAATTCTGAAGTGGTTTTACAGTTATATTAGAGACACACTGATGGTAAGACTCACACACATGCCAATCAATCAAATCGCTAACTTGGTTTAGGATAAATAAGGACCTGGATACACAGATGTTCGTACTGTTGAGAGTGAAACATACTGGATGGAAGGTATGTTCAGCACCTGTAGTTGGCTTAGAGCTCCTACCCTAGGGTCCCTTCACCCACCTGTGATACACCGGACTGTGAAATCAGATGTGAAGTCCCTCCTGCAGTGGATCTGATCAAGTCTCAGGAGCTATCCTCCAACTTACTCACAACTTTTTGTATATGCCACATTTCTGTATGCAAGTATTCCCTGATATTCATTCACCATCACCTTTTGACATATCATTACTTTGTCAAGCTTGAAAACTAACATGTCCATTTTAAGAAAAAAGTCAGTGTGCAATAAATACATAATTTATTTATGTTTTTGGATAGCTCTTTTTCTGGAGTTCACGGTTAAGATGCCCTCCTTCCAGAAATCTCCACTGAATATGAACAACTGCTCTTATGGGGCCCCAGATTTGAACATCACCTTCCTATACATTTCTACCAGAGTGTACTTGGCAGAGATAGTATAGAATAATGATTAACAGCAAGGGCTTCAGTATTAGGTTGACATTTCCAATCTTACCTTGCCCACTCACACAGTACAGAGCAGGAAGTCAAAACCCATCAGTCTGGTCCTAGAGTCTCTTAACCTAGAGTCTCTTTCAGTTATATATTGCTGTATAAATTCTGTGTAATGAATAATCACAAAAAAAACCCAGTGCCAAACAACAAAGAACTGTTTATTTCTTGCATATCTGTGGGTTAGCTGATCTGGGCTGGCCTCAGCAGAGCTTCCCCGGCTGGAATCAGCAGAGTAGTCAAGATATGTTCTTATGGTGATGGTAGAAGGTTAAGAAGGCAAGATGCACTATGCAAGTGCATTTCAAGTCCCCACTTAATGTTATAACCAATTATACCCATTGGCCAAAGCAAGGCTTATGGCCAAGCCTGACGTCAAGGGGTAAGGAAGGAGGTGAGAGTTACTACAGACACTCATGGCAAAATGTGTGGCTACAGAGAAGGGTGGAGATTTGAGGCCAATAATACAATCTGCTACAACCATCATACTAATGCTGCTTCCAATATGTTTTGTGATTATTACTCGTTTTCAGTAGCCCATCAGAGTCTCTATGGAGCATACTGCATCCTTTCCTACTTTTTATAAACCAATAAGGTTGTTTCTTCTTATTTATCTTTATGCACAATGGATTGAAAGGCACTACTGTGGTCTCCTGGTATCTGTATATAACCAGGGATAGCATGTTATAGGATATTAGTTCTACTCTTTTTGTATTGGCTAGGAGTGTTTTTGGCTACAGTTAGAGAATTCACGGCTACCAGTGGTTTAAATAATAAATAAATTCCACTATTTTACACAACAAGAAAACTGGTGGTTCCATGTTTGGTGTGATGGCTCGATGAAGCCTTCAAAAATTCAGGATCTTTCTATCGTTCTATTCTGGCATCGTCAGCCTGTAGGTTTTTCTGCTTTAGGTTACTGCCTTATGGTCACAACATGGCTGCTTCAGTTCAAAGCAGAAGAACATCACATTTCCACATTCAAGTCAGAAAGAAGAGTAAAGGAGCTGTGCTAGAGAGTACTCCTCACATATTTATCCCTCTGTAAGTAAGAGAGACCTTTTGCAGAAGCTCCTGGCAGACTTCTTCATCCATCTGGCTGACTGGAATTGTGTCACATGGACAACCGTAGTTATAGGAGAGACCAGGAATATTAGTATTTATTTCTTTTACCTCTTTCACAAAAAAGTGGCAAAGGAGAAGAGGTTGAGATGGCTCCTGTGTGCCAATTGACACCGTCTACCATACTTTTTTTCACTATTCTGAGACATTATTTCAGGGCTTCATAACTCTAACTTTACACTCTCCTCACATTTTTCAGATTCCCAGGTTAGTTGAAGAGGAGAGGGATTATGCCCTTTTTTCTGACAAATCCTAGTATAGCCCTCCTGTGGACTTATGAGTTAAGTAGATTTTTCCCACCACTTTGGGATCTTATTTTTTCATTTTTTGTTTGTTTTAGTATTTGTTTATTATCCCAGAAATTGTAGTATAACCACAACAATGATGAAACCATGTAATTATTTTGAATAACTGAAAAAGACAAGAGAACAATCCAGAGCCTTTATTTTAAAAAGTCAGCACTGAATTTCTTAAGAGTATTCAATCAGAAAGAAGTCTACTGAGACACTACCTTTGGGATATAATTGAGCAATTACAGAGCTCCCCGAATAGCAAACACTGAAAAGAAAAACTCAATTTTAACTAACAACACATACACCTATAAACAAAAGGCTTTAACCTGATTCTCATTAATACAACTAAAATCTATTTCCATTTACTTGTGGAAAAAAGATTGATTTTTTTCATTTCTGCCTTAGAGTAACACTGATAATTACACTCTGAAAAAATATCACTCACATACAATGTCTTCTTCCCCAATGTGCCATCAGATTAAAATTACTCATCCCCCCAATTCAGACATACATTTCTCTTGTCAGAACATGTAAATTAGGGACAAAATACAGCCTGCATATTAGAATGAATAAGAACACATGCCAACAGATCAAATTTTAAAAATTGGCAAGTCTCTCTAAAAATGTGTATATATATATATATAGAAGGAAAATGAAAGGGCCTGGGAAACAAAAGGAATTTTTACTTAAATTAATTTGATTTTATTTTGGAGATTGAATTTACAGTCAATTCTAAATTTCTACATCTTATTTTTACAGCATAAAAAGAAGCCCATGTCTGGTCCTTAAATATATCTGCTAAATATATCCATATACATGGAAGCCCATCACATCTTCAATAAGATCATTTCTACCTACAACCAAAGCTTACAGCACTGCAGTAGCAGTCAGTGTCGTTCATTACTGGCCACTTCAAAGTTTGATCCAGTTCACTTCTTGAGAACCTCAACTGCTGATGGTGCTAAGATGTTGCCACATGATAGCTAACATTTGACATGTTACTTAGTGCCAGGCATTGTTCTAAGTGTTTTACATGTGTCATCTCATTTAGTCTTCAGGACAACACTGTATATATATAAACATTTGTATATATTTACATTATTATATCTATTTATTTGAGGAATTCATATATAGATAAAAGCTTAGTCAATCGAAAGCAAATGTTTCTAGATGTCTTTCTCCAGCTCTATTTCTTGCTTTACAAGTTGCAAGAAAAGTGTACTCAAAACTGAATTACCCTGTCCTCATCCAAAGATGTCCGATAATGTGTGGACCAAAGGTGGTTGGCACTGATTCTGTATAGGGATGGGACAGAATGTGGCGCTGTTCTCACCTTGTTTTGCTTTGTTGTTGGACCCTCCAAAAGGCCTGACTTGGGTAAAGGTAGATTTTAAGAATAATGTAAGTGGAATGTATCTATGTGGATTTCATCATTTTAAGATGTAACACAAACACTTCATTTCAACTTGAGATTCAACCCCTAAATCCTCTAAGGGAGAGAATATTATATTTTTAACAAAATGCCATGTAACTACACAATTAACATAAGGCTTTGAATAGACTACTAGTTGTGGATTTGACCTGCCTATGAATATTCACCCACAAAAGTGACAGCCATATCAGTTCTCTGTGATAAGTGCCTCATTGTCACTCCAAGCAACTGGTCACTGCTGACTGTTAGAGGACAACATATGTACCAAGCTAGGGCAACCATATTTTCTGTCCTAGAAATTAAGGATCAGATTCCTTCCACCATCTTGCAGCCTGTGGAGACCTGTTGGGAACAGGACTTCTAAAAGGCAAAGATGTCTGGAAGGCTATGGTCCAAGGTCATTTTGCCGTCTGTAAGTGGGGTCTCTAGAACCAAAGGGAGCATACATTTCTTCTTAAAATTGAAGGTGTTTATGCCTGAGATGAAACTGAATTCTATTTGGGCAAGAAATGTGCTTATGTGTACAAAGGGAAGAACAACACAGTGACTCCTGGTGGTAAACCAAACAAAGCCATAATAATCTGGGGAAAGGTAATTCAGGCCCATGGAAACGGTGGCATGGTTTGTTCCAAATTCCAAAGCAATCCTCCTGCTAAGGCCATTGGACACAAAATCCGTGTGATGCTGTATCCCTCAAGGATTTAAACTAATGAAAAGTAAATAAATAAAAGTGGGTTTGTGCTCTTGTAAAAAAAAAATAAGAATCAGGATTCAGAAAAGGATAGAAATCCTCTGTGTCTGGCTTAAACTGAGGGAATGGAAATCCAGGGTCTGTGGAGGGGTGACACTGAGCACAAAGAAACAAAGATAGTTGAGGAAAGAAAAAGAGAGTAAAATACATGAGCAGGGAGAAGATGTCCTGAGAGACCATATGCTATCATATAGTGGGAGAGAAACAGAGACAAAAGGGAAACTACCTTTGTTCTTCAGGTCAGGGTTTCTGTTTCCTGCTGCTGGGATTCCAAGTACTGTATGTGCTTTAAAACTTTGCTTCCGCTCATTTAAAGTGAGACTCTTTTATTTACCCTAAAAGGAACTTGATTGACTGTTCCAGGTTTCAGAAATATGAACTCTCTAGATGAATGTTGCCTGTTAAAGTTTTCAGCTTCACTCTGATACCTCTGGGCACTCGTATAAGCTCTCACAGAAAAGCTTAAAAACTTTTATTTTAAGGCTAATGGCTTGGAGTTGGACTAGATGACTTCTAAGAGCCCATTCAACCCTGCAATTCTAGAGTGCTTTGCCACATAGTTAGAGAGATTTTTATACCTTAGAAGGGGCTACATTGAGCATTAGCTCAGAGAAATGGCTGTGTTCACACAAAACCTGTAATGAATATTTGTGGCAGCATTATTAATAATACCCAAAACACTGGACACAGAACAAACATCTTTCAACAAGTAAATAATTAAACCATGGTCCATATGATGGGATACTACTCATCAATAAACAACAATTATTATTATTATTATTATTATGGAAATTATTATTTTCAACTTTTATTTTAGATTCAGGTGCATGTGCAGGTTTGTTTTTGGGCATATTACATGATGCTGAGGTTTGAGGTATGATTGATCTCGTCACTTAGGTACTGACCAGAGTACCCAACAGATAGTTTTTAAACCCCTGTACCCCTCCCACCCCACTCTAATAGTCCCCAGTTTCTATTGTTGCCATCTTTATATCCATGAGTACTCAATGTTTAGCTCCCACTTACAGGTGAGAACATGCGGTATTTGGTTTTCTGTTCCTGCATTAATTCACTTAGGATAATAGCCTCCAGCTGCATCCATGTTGCTACAAAGGATATGATTTTGTTCTTTTTTATGGCTGTCTAGTATTCCATGGTGTATATGTACCACATTTTCTTGATCCAATCCACCACTGATGGGCACCTAAGTTGATTCCATGTCTCTGCTATTGTGAATAGTGCTGCATTTAACATGAAAGTGTATATGTCTTTTTGGTAGAAAGGTTTGTTTTCTTTTGAATATATACCCCTTTTCTCCCGAGAGCACTTCTTCACTTCAATAAACCACAAACATCCAAAATTCTGTCTGAAGCTTGCCTTCTAGGGAACCTAATACAAGACAGAAGCTTGGCAGTGGCCAACGAGTTAGTTAGTTTTTTTTTTTTTTTGGAATAACTAACTGATTAACATTAATTTCGTAAAAATGCCTGCTCTGCTTTTCAGATGCTTAAAATGACTGAAAAGAGGTATTTGCCAAAAAACTGATGCTATCCAACAAGTTAGTTAGTTCACCTGGACAGATTGACTCAGACACAGGTATTAAATCTTCATGCTTGGGTCTATGGGAAGGTTATGTTAAACCCCCAGATTCCAGTTTCACAAGATATTTCCTACAAAGCAGAGCTTAGCAAACTAGGGACCATGGGCCATATCTGGCCTGCAGCCCATTTTTGTATAACCCATGAGCTAAGAATGGTTTTATATGTTTAAATGGCTGAAAGAAAAATTAAAAGAAGAATATTTGTGGCATGTGAAAATTATATGCAATTCAGATTTCAGCATCCATAAATACAGTTTTATTGAAAGCCAACCATAACCATTTGTTTACATTTTGTCTGTGGCTGCTTTCAAGCTAAAACAGCAAAGTGGAGTAGTTGACGCAGAGACCATGTGGCCTGCAGAGCCTAAAATATTTACCACAGTATTTGCCTTTACAGAAAATGTTGCTGAACCTGCTGTAAAAGAATGAGGGGCTTGAGTCCTGCTGTGTTTGATGGAGCTCATTCTGAATAGCTAATTCCAGTTGTTACAAAATTTCTGTTTTTCTGGGCTAACAAGTTTCAACTGAGCAGAGAACAAGGAAGTAGTCGTGTATGTGGCTAATGGGGTAGGGGACATTGAATCAGAAGTAAAAATCCACAAGGAGAAAAAGGAACATTGCAGCCTTGAAAGATCCACAGTCAGTCTTTGCCACTAAGAGAAAGGAAGAGGCTGACTTGCGACAGAGCAGACTTGGAGAGCTGGGAATAAGGGAGGGGGCTAGCAATGAACTCACAGAGCTAAAACAACTGAAAGTCAGTAATTGCCTTTCAATAGTGTCTAAGCCCCAGGAGCTCCATTAAAGCAGCCAAAATGGATTGAATTCCCACTGGGGAAGACGCTTGCCATTGATCGCGCAGACCCATCCAGCAATTCCTGCGTCTTAGCAGGAATGATTACTCCCCAAGAAATCCTGCCCAGAAGCCTGCGTCCATCACTTTCCCAGTGACTGAAGAAAGCATCCTGGGCAGGATGAAGATGGCATGATAGATTCCTGCAGCACAAGCCAAAAAGGGGAGAATGTGTGAAGGTGAGATCACTTAAATTCAACTCACATGTATTTGATACAGAGCAAGGGTTTTGCATACATGTTATTACTCAATTATGAGCCCCAATTGATCTATGGAGAAACTAAGATTTGGACAGTTTTAAAATATGTATGCAGGATTACAGTATTAGTAAGTGAAAGTTATTTGAAAGTAGCAATGTTAGCAAACTAGACAGGCATCATGAGGTGAGAGAAAAAGTGACAAGGGGAAGAGGGAGGTGGTGAGGGGAATCCCGCTGCACATAGGACCCGAGTGGCCACCCCTGGTTCTGGGCATTGGACTCCATAGATTCAGGCCAGCTACTAGAGTGGGCCTGAGACCAGGGGTGGACACATTAAGGAGGCTGGAGACAAAGAAAACAATTCAAGCTCTAATGTGGATGAATATATAGTTCCCTAGAATATGTAGTGTTTTCAGAAAAGAAAAGGCTTCATGCACAGTGATTAAGAACATGGACCCTGGAACCAAACTGCTTACCTACTTAGCTGTGTGACCTTGGACAAGTCACCTAACTTCTCTGTACTTCAGAAAAATGGGACTAGCAATAGTACTTGTCCCATGAGGTCACTATGAAGATTAAAATGGATTAATATTTGTAAAATAAAAATACAACTTTATTAAATAGATAATGGAGATTATTTGTATGTGCTTATGAATAATGAAACACAAGTTTTCCAGGAAAAAAAAAAACCTTTAAAGGTTTAATTTGTAGCATTTGTTGATTCCTATGGTATAAATACTCCCACCATGTCAGGTTTTAAGTTACCAATGTAGCGTAATTGAATGCAAAACTAAGAAAGAGTGTGTATAGTAGCATACCATTATATGGTATTTCCACCATACAGATAAAATAGATGTAATTGATCTCAAGAGCATAATCATATAATCCAGTGAAATAATTAGGACGATTTGAGTACTACCTTTGCTTTTAAAATAATTCATTTAATTGTAAGTTTATATAATTTAATTTTTAATATAGGCTATGTTTAACAATTGGCTGTCAATTCCTGAAATTTTAACAATTGTCCCTCATGAGCTGGTATAAGGCAAATTCAGTACACCAATAACGTGCACTTCTGAGGCACTAGTCCTGTCTGTGTGGCAAAGGAAAAAGATCTGTGGAAAGAGTCCTATGATGGTTAATTTTATGTGTCAACTTGACTGGGCCGTGGGGTACCCAGATATTTGGTCAAACATGATTCTGGGTATTTTTGTGAGGGTGTTTTTAGGTGAGATTAACATTTAAATTGGTAGACTAAGTGAAGAAGATTCCCCTTCCTAATGTGCATGGGCCTCATCCAATCAGTTGAGTTTAGTCATCAGAGACATGGAAATCAAAGCAACAGCTAGATACCACTTCACACCCACTAGGACAGGTATAATTTAAAAGTCAGATAGTAACAAGTGTTGGCGAGGATATGGAAAAAAATGGAACTCTTATAACAGTTTTGGAGGGAATGTAAAATGGTGCAATCATTTTGGAAGACAGTCTGTCATTTCCTCAAAAGGTTAAACATAAGGTTTTCATTTGACCCAGCTATCTCAATCTTAGGTACACACTCAAGAGAAAGAAAAACATGTGTCCACATTAAAACTTGTACATGAGTGTTCATAACAACATTATTCATTATAGCCAAAAGTGTAAACAATCCAAATGTTTATCAATTGATTAGTGGATAAATGAAAGGTAGCACATTCATGTAATGAAACCGTAAAAAGGAATGAGGTACTGACACATGCTGCAATGTGGATGAACCTTGAAAACATTGCATTAAGTGAAAGAAGCCAGTCACAAAATATGACATGTTATACGATTTCATTTACATGAAATGTCCAGAATAGGTAAATTTACAGAGTCAGAAAGTAGCAGTTGCCTTGAGCTGAAGGGGATGTGGGGATTGTTAAAGGGGATGAGGTGACAATTAAAGGGCACAGGGTTTCTCTTTGAGGTGGTCAAAATGTTTAAAATTGATTGTGGTGATGGTTGCACAACTCTGTGAATATACTAAAAAACTACCGAATTGCACACTTTAAAGGGGTGAATTGTATGGCATGTGAGTTGTATGTCACTTAAGCTGTTACCAAAACAATAGTTAATGTAGACATTAAATAGACATCAAATAGTCAAATTTACCAAATAAACTAATAGCCCATGGTTCCGACCATAAAGTACAGAACGAAGCTATGTATTTATATAATAGTTTGATATTTTCCACCGTGAAGATTTGAATATTTACATCTAATTTGCCTTTTCCTCCCATTTTCTTATTGTCGTCCTCTATCATGAAAACTTCTTGTATGAAAAATAACAAATATTTATTTAAATCATAATTAGCTGACAAATGAATGGACTGAATTTGAAATTATTTTCCAATTTTCACTTATGTATTCTATTAGAAATTTCAGATTATATAGGGATTATCTATATTATTTATTGATAAAAGAATCTATATGAGATAATCAATGCATTATTAAGTTCAATAATGTTTCACAGACATGCATAATTAGCATTTTCTATTTACATTGCTTAATAAAAATAGAATCTCTTAGCATTCTGATGATTGCATTAATTTGTAACACGTGATGGCACAAAAACAAAGGACATTTTAAGTCTTCATTAATGGACTGGAAGAGAAAAAGCAGGCTCATTAAATTCTCCACTGTTACTCAATTAGAAAGTTTCCCACACTGGGAAAGACAGTAAAATTACACAAACAGATCTAGAGAGTGTGAGTTGATGTGAACAAGAATAAAACTATGGGAATTTAACCCGATCAATGACAAGGTAATATACTTGAAGGAGATAAAATAACTATAATGTATTTGAAGGATAGTGTGACCAACGATAACTAGAAATTTCAGGGTAAATACACATAGAAGTAAACATTCAATCTGACACAAAGCGCCTATAGTCCATATTGGACATAAGATCCCAACATAGGAATTTAAATGGCAAAAGTGGAGTACATGTAATGAAAACCATACTTACATAGTGGTTAAGAACCTGGAGTCTGGAGTCAGAGAGCTCGAGTCCCAACCTTCATTCTGCCATTCAGTTACACAAATTAACTTACTTCTCTCCACTTCATTCCCCTAATATATAAAATATAGATAATAACTTCTTTTCTCACGGGAATGAAGAATATAATCCTGGCTGAGGAACCTAATACAGTGTCTGGAACTCAAGGACCGATACATGTCAGCAATTCTAACTACTATATTATTATTTTTATTACTATTCCAGCAGCCTCCTAGTGGTTGTTCTTGACTCCAGTCAATACTCCACTCTGTCAGAGTGGTCTTTCTAATAAACAAATGTGAAACTATTATATTTTTATTTAAAACATTCCACTGACTGCATGAAGCCTATGGTCCAAAGTCCAAATCATTTACATGGCACAAAAGGCTCTTCAAGCTCCAGCCACAGTCCCTTTGCTACATTATTCTAGGTATTACCTTCTGTGCACGTTGTCTTTCAGTTGACCCAAGCTTTTACTTCTCTTAGAGCTGCAAATCTTTACACAGACTATTCCTTTTTCCCAAAATGGGATTAAAAAAAACATTCCTGTTAAGAATTGTGAAAGATTTGTAATTTCTACCCTACTAGAAACCTGGCAAGTTAGTGTGGATTTCACGGATGCAGTCAGAGGACAGTAAGTCCCCGTGTTAGAGACAAAGACCTTTATTACTCCCAGTACAGCACAAAGCATGAGTTCATGCTTGTGTCAGTTTTCCTTGACCCCCAAATCCCACAAAGGCAACACAGAGAGACCCAAATAGATGTCACACACCTAAGTCACAGCTGAGGGACCTTAATATCAGAAAATCAAAGTATTTTATAAATGGCTGCAAGCAAACCTCCCTGATCCTTGCCCCAGATAGAGACATTATCTTTATTATACTGAGTAGCAAACAAATCTGCCACCTGTTCTGGAGAGGGACACTATTTCTAGTTTCCAAGGCTCTAAAAACATATTTGCCTAATATTACAGATTATAAAACAAAAAACAACAGCCTGTCTCTATTTAAAATATTAACAGTTTTCATTACGAATTTTTTCATTAAATTAGATTTTTAAAAAATATTGCATTAAAATATTTATTTTAATGACTGAACTTTTGGCATCCCTATGAATTTTTTGTCTGAGAAAATTAGGGCCTTAATCACTTCACTCTAATCCTAACCATGCAAAAAAATGCAAAAACAAAAAACAAAATTATACACATATAGTCATACCTCGGAGATATTGTGGGTTCAGATCCAGACCACCACAATAAAGCAATTTTCACAATAAAGCAAGTCACATTAAATGTTTGGTTTCCTAGTGCATATAAAAGTTATGTTTACACTACAATTTTTCCATTAAGTGTTCAATAGCATTATGCTAAAATAATGTACATACTTGAATTTAAAAATAATTTACTGCTAAAAAAATGCTAACAATCACCTGAACATTCAGTGAATCATAATCTTTTTGCTGGAGGAGGGTCTTGCCTAAATGTTGATGGCTGCTGACTGATCAGGGTGGTCGTTGCTGAAGGTTGAGCTGGCTGTAACAATTTCTTAAAATAAGACAACAATGAAGTTTGCCATATTAATTGGCTCTTCCTTTCATGAAAGATTTCTCTGTAGCATGTGATGCTGTTTGATAGCATTTTACCCACAGTGGAACTTCTTTTGACATTGGATTCAGTCCTTTCAACCCCTGCCGCTGCTTTATCAACTATGTTGATATACTATTCTAAATCGTTTGTTGTCATTCCCACGATGTTCACAGCATCTTCAGCAGAGATAGATTCCATCTCAAGAAACCACTTTATTTGCTCATCCATAAGAAGTAACTCCTCATCCTTTAAAGTTTTATCATGAGAAAGCAGGAATTCAGTCACATCTTCAGGATCCACTTCTAATTTCTAGTTTTCTTGCTATTCCCACCACACCTGCAGTTACTTCTTCCACTGAAGTCTTGAACCCCTTAAAGTCATCCATGAGGTTGGAATAAACTTCTTCTAAACTCCTGGAAGTTTGACCTCCTCCCATGGATCATGAATGTTTTTAATGGCATCTAGAATAGTGAATCCTTTCTAGAAAGTTTTCAATTTATTTTGCTCAGTTCTATCAGGGGAATCATTATATATGGCAGCCATAGACTTACAAAATGTATTTCTTAAATAGTAAGACTTGAAATTCAAAATTACTTCTTGATTGATGGGCTGCAGAATGGCTGTTGTGGCAGCAGCCATGAAAACAACATTAACCTCCTTGTACATCTCCATCAGAGCTCTTGGGAGACCAGGTACATTATTAATGAACAGTAATATTTTGAATTTTTAAATATTTAGTAAACCATGCTGTAAACAGATGTACTGTCATCCAGGCTTTGTTGTTCCATTTCTAGAGCACAGACTGAGTAGATTTAGCATAATTCTTAAAAGCCCTGAGATTTTCTGAATGATAAATCAGCATTGACTTCAACTTAAAGTCACCAGTTATATTAGCCCCTAAGAAGAAAGTCAGCCTGTCCTTTGAATCTTTGAAAGCAGGCACAGGCACTGACTTTTCCTCCCTAGCTGTGAAAGTCCTGGACGGCATCTTTTCCCAATATAAAGCTGTTTCATATACACTGAAAATCTGTTGTTTAGTGTAGTCACCTTCATCAATTACCTTTGCTAGATCTTCTGGATAACTTGCTGCAGCTTCTTCATTGGCATTTGCTGCTTCATCTTCTACTTTTATGTTAAGGAGATGGTTTCTTTCTTTAAATGTCATGAACCAACTTTTACTAGCCTCTAACTAGTCTTCTTCAGCTTCCTCACCTCTCTTAGTCTTCACAGAATTAAAGAGAATTTGGGCCTCACTCTGGATTAGGCTTTGGCTTAAGTGAATGTTGTCACTGATTTGATCTTCTATCCAGACTGCCCAAACTTTCTCCATATCAGCAATAAGTTTGTTTCACTTTCTTATTACTCACGTGTTCATTTAGGTAGCACTTTTAATTTCCTTCAAGAATTTTTCCTTTGCATTCACAACTTGGTTAACTGGTGCAAGAGGTTTAGCTTTTGGTCTATCTATCTTGGCTTTCAACGTGCCTTTCTCATGAAGCTTAATCCATTTTAGCTGTTGATTTAAAGTGATAGACATGTGACTCTTCCTTTCCCTTGAAAACTTAGAGGTCATCATAGGCTTATTAACTGTCCAAATTTCAATATTGTTGTGTCTCAGGGAACAGGAAGACCTGAGGAGAGGGGGAGAAATGGAATGGCTTATCAGTGTAGCAGTTAGAACACACACGAAACATTGATTAAGTTCACTGTCTTCTATAGGTGTGGCTTATGGTACCCCAAAACATTTACAATAGTAACTTCAAAGATCACTGATCACAGTTCACCATAACAGAGACAATAACAATGAAAAAGTTTGAAATATTGTGAGAATTATCAAAATGTAACACAGAGACATGAAATGATCCCATGCTATTAGAAAAATGGTGCTGATAGACTTGCTCAATGCAGAGTGGCCACAAACCTTCAATTTGTAAAAACACAGGAAACATTTGACCAAAATGGGAGAGTAGAACCAATATAGCTTCACTCTTTCACATAGAAAACCAAAAACAATATCTGACAACAAGATTATCACCAGTAATATTCCAGAACTCAATTTTGAGGCTAAGGCAATCCCTGGAACCACAGAGAAGTGTAAAACTTTGAGCATATGTTAAAAGAAATAGACTTCTCAATGTCCCTCCCCAAACCTGCCAGGCACTGCTGCAAAAAATTCCTTCTGGACTCACAGTTTCTACACAGAAAAAAGTAAGATATAGGCATACATCCAGCTTCCCCACCATCTTAGTTTCTTTTGCGAGAAAACCATCCCTGCCTCAAACCACAGGAAGCATCATGAGTGCCTGTATGGAGAAAAACTTCTGAGAGCACCTAGAGACACAGAGGGGAGGCTTAACCAGCAAACACAGCCTATAAAACCCTGTGTTTTATCTCAGCCAAAGGAGATATCAAATCAGAGTGGCTGGTCAGCAGCATCATACTGTAGGAAGCATGTTCTGTGGGCCTTATGGATATGAACCTCTAGCTAGGCTTCCCACACAGCTGGGGTATCCTTTGGGACACCCACTTCAATCAGAGATGGGCAGAACTCCCTACATGTGGGAGAGCTGAGGCAAGCCATGGTGTAAGGCACCATCTAGTGCCAAAAAGGAGGCATTAAGATTAAGAGGACTCAACAGGCATATTGCAAGGAACCTCTAAGCAAACATACCCAAGAAAGAATAAAACAAGCCAGACAGCAAATACTAGAAAAAATAACTAATCTTTCAATATGAAAACATAAACATACATCCACAGGAAACAGTGGCAAACAGGGAACCATGCCCTCCCCAGATGAACAAAACAAGGGGCCAGTGACTGATCCTAACAAGATGGCAATGTGTGAGCTCTTAGATCCAGAATTCAAACTAGAAGTTCTAAGGAAACTCAGTGAACTCCAAGATAACATCAAAAAGCATCTGAAATTTATCAGAAAAAATTTAACAAAGAGATTGAAATAATTTTTAAAAATCAAACAAAAATCCTGGATTTTAGAAGTACATTTGCTAAACTGAAAAATGCATTACAGGCTCTCAACAGCAAAACGTAACAGAAGAAAGAATCAGTGAGTTCAAAGAGAAGATATTTGAAAATATACAGTCAGAGGATAAAAAAAGAAAAAAGAATAAAAAGGAATGAAGAACACTTACAAGATGTAGATAAAAACCTGAAAGGAGCAAATCTAAGAATTATTGGCATTCAAGAGGGACTTGAGAACAAGCAAAAGATATCTTTTTCTCAAAAACCAGTAAATGAAAACTTTCCAAATATAGAGAAAAGTAAAAATATTCAGGCACAGGAAGGTTAGAGATCACGAAGAAGATTCAAGTCAAACAAGACTAACCCAAGGCATTACAATATTCAAACTTTCAAAGGTCAATGACAAAGAGAGGATCCTAAAAGCAGCAAGAGAAAAGAAGCAAATAACCTATAAGGAGCTCCAATTCATCAGCCGACAGTAGTCTCAGCAGAAATATGCAGCCCAGGAGGGAGCGGGATAACATATTCAAAGTGCCGAAGAAAAAAAAACTGTCATCCAAGAATACTTACCCAGCAAAGCTTTCCATCAAACATGAAGGAAAGATAGTCTTTCTCAGACAAACAAAAGGTGAGGGAATTCATCACTAGACCAGCCTTACAAGAAATGCTAAAGGTGTTGCGGGAAGTCAGGGACCCTGAACGGAGGGACCTGCTGAAGCCGTGACAGAAGAACATAAATTGTGAAGATTTCATGGATATTTATCACTTCCCCCATCAATACTCTTATAATTTCCTATGCCTGTCTTTACTTTAATCTCTTAATTCTGTCATCTTCGTAAGCTGAGGATGTATGCCGCCTCAGGACCCTGTGATGATTGTGTTAACTGCACAAATTGTTCCTAAAGCATGTGTGTTTGAACAATATGAAATCTGGGCACCTTAAGAACAGGATAACAGTGATTTTCAGGGAACAAGGGAGATAACCTTAAAGTCTGGCTGCCTGTGGGCCAGGCAGGACAGAGCCATATTTCTCTTATTACCGAAAATGGGTAAGAGAAATATCGCTGAATTCTTTCCCCAGTAAGGAATATTAATAATTAACAGCCCTGGGAAAAGAATGCATTCCCGGGGTTGGGGGGTGGGGGTGGCCTCTAGAATGGCTGCTCTGGGGAGTCTGCCTTATGCAGTTGCAGATAAGGGATGAAACATGCCCTGGCCTCCTGCAGCGCCCCCAGGCTTGCTAGGATTAGGAAATTCCAGCCTGGTGAATTCCAGTCAGACCGGTTCTCTGCTCTCGAACCCTGTTAATATGTTTATCAATGACAATATGTGCCCAGTGGGGCATGGACCTTCATTAGCAATTCTAGTTTTGCCCTGACCTTGTGATCTCGCCCTGACCTTCTGCCTTGTGATCTTTTGTTGCCCTTGAAGCATGTGATCTCTGTGACCCACACCCTATTCATACAGTCCCTTCCCTTTGAAAACCGCAAATAAAAACTTGCTGGTTTTACGGCTCAGGGGGCATCACGGAACCTGCTGACATGTGATGTCTCCCCCAGAAACCCAGCTTTAAAATTTCTCTCTTTTTTACTTTTTCCCTTTATTTCTAAGACCCTCTGACGCTTAAGGAAATAGAAAAGAACCTCTGTTGAATTATCAGGGGAGTTCTTTCACTGGAAGAAAAGGACACTAACATGCAAAAAGATATTCAAAGGTGTCAAACTCAGCTAAAAGTACACAAACAAATTTAGAATTACTCTAATACCCTAAATGATGAGTGGATTACACATCATATATATAAATGATTAGATGACAAATATATACACATATATATGATTAGATTAGAAATCTATCAAAATAATAATAGCAGAAACCTGTTAAGAGAAAGCGATGTAAAAAGATATAAATTGTGACAATAAAAAGTAAAAATGTAAGAGGTAGAATTAAAGGGTAAATTAAAGGTTTTTATTTGTTTCTTTTCTTTGTGATCAAAGTTGTCATCTGTTTAACATAATTTGTTATATCTGTACAATGTGTTGTTTTGATATGTGTATACAATGTGGAATAATTAAATCAAGCTAATTAGCATATACATCACATCATTTACCTATCATTTTTATGGTGAGACATTTGAACTTTACTCTCTTATTTTGAAATATACAATATATTATTATTGGCTATGATCACCCTGCCATGCAATAGATCTCAAAACTTATTCCTCCTGTCTTTCTGAAACTTTGCACCTTTGATTACACAGCTGCCCTTTCCCTTCTTCCTGACCCCTCCAGCCTCTGTAACCATCATTCTACTTTCTATTTCTTTCTTTTTTTTGTTTGAGACGGAGTCTAGCTCTGTGAGTTCAACTTTTTTAGATTCCACATGTAAGTGAGATTATAAGGGATTTGTCTTTCTGTGCCTGGTTTATTTCATTTAGCATAATGTCCTCTAGATTCATCCATGTTGTTGCAAATAACAGTATTGTTCCCCTTTTTAAGGCTGAACAGTATTCCATTGTGCATTTTTACCACATTTTCTTTATCCATTCATTTGATGAGGAATGCCTAGGTTGATTTCACATCTTGGCTATTGTGAATAATGCTATGAACATGGGAATGCAGATACCTCTTCAGCACACTGATATCAATTCCTTTTGATAGGTACCCAGAGGTGGGATACTGGATCATATGGTAGTTTTATTTTTAGTTTTTTGAGAAATCTCTACACCATTTTACATAATGGCTGTATTAACTTACATTCCCGCCAACAGTATGCAAGGGTTCCCTTTTCTCCTAACCCTCACCAACACTTATATTTCATCTTTTTGATAAAAGCCATTCTAACAGGTGTGAGATGATATCGCATTGTGGTTTTAATTTGCATTTCCCCAATGAGTAGTGATGCTGAGCATTTTTTCATGTGCCTGTTGGCCATTTTTATGCCTTCCTTTTAGAAATGTCTGTTCAGGTCCTTTGCCCATTTTAAATAAAGCTATTTGTTTCCTTGCTATTGAGTTGAGTTCCTCATATATTTTGAATATTGATTCTTTATTAAATGTATGATTTGTAAATATTTTCTTCCATTCTGTGGGTCTCTTTTTATTATTATTATTATACTTTAAGTTCTGGGATACATGCGCAGAACGTGCAGGTTTGTTACATGGGTATACATGTGCCATGGCGGTTTGCTGCACCCATCAACCTGTCATCTACGTTAGATATTTCTCCTAATGCTATCCCTCCCCTAGCCCCCCCCACCCCCCAACAGGCCCCCGGTATGTGATGTTCCCCTCCCTGTGTCCATGTGTTCTCATTGTTCAATTCCCACTTATGAGTGAGAACATGCGGTGTTCAGTTTCCTGTTCCTGTGTTAGAGTGCTGAGAATGATGGTTTCCAATTGATTCCTTTGCTGTGCAGACACTTTACAGTTTGATGCCATCCCATTTGTCTATTTTTGCTTCTGTTGCCTGTGCGTTTGTGGTCATATTGGAAAAAAAATCCTTGCCCAGACCAATGTTGTGAAGCTTCTCCTCTATGAAACCCTTATTTCTATCAGCCTCTGCATTTCCTCACCTACTAAATAGTGTGATCCAGCAAAAATGTATACCTCCTCTACCTAGAAATGTTTTCTTACTTTTCCCTGGGTGGATATTTAGAATTTAAGTATTTTGTTTAGTTAAGAATTTAAGTATTTCTTTCATCCATTGATCTGTTGCTTCTGTATTTTGAGTTAAACAATATCCATCTAGAGATATTTTTAGAACTCATAGGGAGGCTATTCTGGTCACAATGTGCCAAAATCTATTGGTAGAAAGAGGGTGGAGGCAGCCTGAAATGGAACGTGTGTAATTACTACCTAGAAAAATGGATTCTTTCTTTTTTCTTCTATAAATCTTCCTTCCTTCCTTCCTTCCTTCCACAATCCAACATAGAATTACAGAGACCTAAAAACATATGTAAACAGGACAGCAGTGTAAGCATATCTGTACTCCATGTTACAAAAACATGATTGATTTGGGGGGAAGTTTTAAATATGTATAAACTGGCCAGCCTTATATATAATCACTCACTTAATTGCAGGCTGAATGACACTTTTGCAAAATGAATATTAAAGAATGTTTAATTTATTTATTTTATTACTTATGTATATCCAGAAGGAATGGGGCAATGAGAATAGAAAGAGCTAATTAAATGTCTTGGTGAACTGGCAAGTAGATGAGACTTGTTCATAAGCTTGGTACACTGCATAATTTGGCTGCAATTTGGGGAGGATAAAATCCCCAGTGCTTAAGATTCTAATTTTTCTCTGTGGGGTTAAACCTATAGATGCATACCATTAGCTGAAAATAAACAGAGCTTACTTTCTGGGAGAAACATGTATGGTATTTCCGCCTAGCTTCTATTCAATGATTTTCTAGGTAATTATCGAAGTTTTTGCTGTCAGCAATCACATTATGAAGTCAAATGACTCAGGTTTATAAAGATATTTAACCCATTGCTACAAAGTATATCTGAACTTCTCAAAAGGGAGATGTTTAGTGTCCACTAACTCTAAACAAATGCCTACCCTATGACCCAGCAATACTACACTCCTAGGTTTACATGTAAGAGAAATGAGAATTTATGTCCATCAACAGACATGACCAAAAAAGTTTATAGCATCTTTATTCATAGCAGCCCCAACTTGGAACACCCAAATGTCCATCAATAGTAGAAAGGAAACTAAAGTGTGGCATATTCATACAATGGAATACTCTACAGCAATGAAAAGAAAACTGCTGATATATGCAGCACAAGGGATAACTCTCCCACGTACTTTGGTGAATGAAGGAAGCCAGACACAGAGGGTGCATGCTGTACATGATAAAGAATTAAAAATAACTGGCGGGTTGTGGTGGCTCACGCCTGTAATCCTAGTACTTTGGGAGATTGAGACAAGCGGATCACCTGAGGTCAGGAGTTTGAGACCAGCCTGACCAACATGGAGAAACCGCGTCTCTACTAAAAATACAAAAATTAGCCAGGCGTGGTGGCACATGCCCGTAATCTCAGCTACTCAGGAGGCTGAGGCAGGAGAATTGCCTGAACCTGGGAAGTGGAGGTTGCGGTGAGCCGAGATCGTGCCATTGCACTCCAGCCTGGGCAACAAGAGTGAAACTCCATCTCAAAAAAAAAAAAAACCAAAAACTGATGGTGATGGAAATTAGAAGAGCAGTTATTGTTATGGAGTGAGGGTGGGGGAGTGGGCCATTGACAAGGAGGAGGCATGAAGGAGCCTCCTGGGGTGCTAGAAATGTTCTAGATCTTGATCTGGGTGGTTACACAGGTGTATACGCTTGTAAAACTCCTTTGAATGGTACCCTTTTGTATACTTTACACAGCTTACTGTACATGTGTTATACCTCAGCAAAGAGCAATAAATAAATACATCCATACACTTTTACAGGGGAATAATTTTTCCCACTACCAAGTACATAGCCAGAGAGAGAGCACTGGTGTCCAGTGAATCTCACAGATTTTGCATGGGGTCAGGATGAAGCTATGGACAGATGTCCATGGGTGGGAGTTAGCAGAGGCAATTGTGCTTGGCACTCCAAGCCTCTTCCCTTTTTAAAAAATGCATATTCCTTATCCTCTTTGGCCTTCTAGATCATCTGGGCTATGTCATATAGAAAAAGGATGTTACCATGGGGTGGGTCAGGGAGAGAGAAGGGGCAGAAAAAAAAATGAGTTTCATAAGCTTCAGTGCAGAGAGAACCCAAAGCACAGACAAAAAATGAATTGTGGTAAGACAGAGCTAGGTTTACTCCCAAGCCGACAAGATAAAGATTTGCCAGTTAAGGGAGAGAACAAGAGTTGAAGAGAAAGCAAGGAGTGAGACGATGTGGGTCCTTGAGAATCACCATTCTCAGTAAACTATCGCAAGAACAAAAAATCAAACACCGCATATTCTCACTCATAGGTGGGAATTGAACAATGAGATCACATGGACACAGGAAGGGGAACATCACACTCTGGGGACTGTTGTGGGGTGGGGGGAGGGGGGAGGGATAGCATTAGGAGATATACCTAATGCTAGATGACGAGTTAGTGGGTGCAGCACACCAGCATGGCACATGTATACATATGTAACTAACCTGCACATTGTGCACATGCACCCTAAAACTTAAAGTATAATAATAAAAGAAAAAAAACTTAAAAAAAAAAAAAAGCCCTGTCCTCTTCACAAAACTCCCAGGTAGGTAGTGTGACCCAAAAGCATATCTGCATTGCTTCTCAATTTCTTTTTCTGAATGCCTTGCTGATTCTATATTTCCCTTTTTCATTGATTATGAGTGTTCCCAAATGATCAACTTTGAATGTTCTGTTTTCCTTCCTATAGATTATATTGAGCTAGAATCATAAGTTTTTCTATTCAAATCATGTCACAAACGAAAAAAGTGATTGTTGAATTCATACTCACATTTCCTTATAAAATTCACTTTCCAAAAATGTGATTCAAAACTCTTTCTCACCAGGTGTGGTGGCTCACACCTGTAATCCCAGCACTTTGGTAGGCTGCGGTGGGCGGATCATGAGGTCAAGAGTTCGAGTCCAGCCTGGCCAACATGGTGAAACCCCATCTCTACTAAAAAAAATACAAAAATTAGCCGAGCATGGTGGTGCGCACCTGTAGTCCCAGCTACTCGGGAGGCTGAGGCAGGAGAATTGCTTGAACCCGGGATGTGGAGGTTGCAGTGAGCTGAGATTGCACCACTGCACCCCAGCCTGGGTGACAGAGTGAGACTCTGTCTCAAACAAAACAAAACAAAACAAAAAAACTCTTTTTCCTATAGATTGAGTATTCTTTTTTCTTTTCTTTTCCTTTCCTTCTTTCTTTTTCTTTCTTTCTCTTTCTTTCTTCTTTCTTTCTTTTTCTTTCTCTTTCTTTCTTTTCTTTCTTCTTTCTTTCTTTCTTTGTTTCTTCCTTTCTTTCTTCCTTTCCTCTTTCTTTCTCTTTCTTTCTTTCTTTCTTTCTTTCTTTCTTTCTTTCTTTCTTTCTTTCTTTCTTTCTTTCTTTTTTTCTTTCTTTCTTTCTTTTTGATGGAGTCTCACTCTATCACCCAGGCTGGAGTGCAGTGGCATGATCTTGGCTGACTGCAACCTCCACCTCCTGGGTTCAAGCCATTCTCCTGCCTCAGCCTCCCGAGTAGCTGGGATTACAGGCACCTGCCACCATGCCTGGCTAATTTTCGTATTTTTAGTACAGACGGGGTTTCACCATATTGGCCAGGCTGGTCTCAAACTCCTGACTTTGTGATCTGCCTGCCTTGGCCTCCCAAAGTGCTGGGATTACAGGCGTGAGCCACCATGCCCAGCCTGTATTCTTTTAAACTTTATGACTGATTGGTATTATTACTGCAAATCTATCTATCTATCTATCTATCTATCTATCTATCTATCTATCTATCAATCATCTATCTATCTATCTATCATCTATCTTGTCAACAAAAAATAATTTAAAATACCTACTGAGAAAATAGAAAAAATACTTCCTAATAATAGATATTTTCATATTGGAGAGTAAAATAAGTTTTGGCCTGCTTATCTGAGACAGTTGAGCAGGGAATTTATTCATATCTGTTACGATAAATGTTCTCTGTGTTTCTCTTGTGCTGGAAGAGACTTGACTGCTTGTTCATAGCATTTTGGTCTTTTGATTTTGGTGCCATATATAGGCATAACTAGAGACATGGATGGAGTTTGGTTTTCAATTAAAGACTAATTCAGGAATCCAACATTTATTGATGGCTGTGCCAGAAAGACTTTGAATTTCAAAACACATGGTAGGCCAGCAAGCACATGGCAATTAACCTTAGACATGAGGATTTTCTGATGGACAAATTAATGCTGAAATGGTACATATCGTTATGTATTGACCCAAGAGTTACCATTTTCTTGGTCACATGTTAACGTTTTTAAAATCACATTTCTCATTTCATCGACATAATGACAGTATCATAGTAACACAAAACTTTATATTTGTCTTCCTTCTGAAACACAACATTATTGAATTACAAATACAAATCAAGTTCTCTTGCAGCTCTCAGGTATAGATATATTCCTCTGAAAGTGGGCCAAATTGAGAGAATCACTGCATTTGTGAAATCCACCATACATTTCAGATTTGATACTTCACACATCATCAAAAGGTTGTCAGAAAATCAAGAGACAGAAATTTAGAGATGGAATGTAGCATTTCTGGGTCAGTGTCAGATTTGTCAAGTCTTGGTTTCCCAGATTTTGTAGGAGGAGAACCTTAGCAGTATGAACGGGGAGAAATTTTTGTCTTTAAAAGGCATAGCAGTGATTTCTAGTATTACAGTTAATAGCCAGGATGTGTTTATATTGTTCAAAGTCTCTATTTGTACATCATCACAATACGCAAGTCTATAAAACCAAAGGAAGCACACTGTCATTGTTTGCCTTCTTCACAAAGTGTATTGAACAGTAGCTGGAAATTAGTAACTCACTGAATACACTTTGAGTTTATATTTTTTTACTTGAATCATTCTACTCATATCCTGTCCATTAATATTCCTTCTTTTGTGGATGTAATGGGGAAAAAGTTAATGTTAAAACTAATGGAAATCTTCCATTTTTTAATTGCATGTGTGTGGATTTGTAACTTTTTTCCTCAACATCTTTTTCTGGAATGGGAAGAGCTAGAGGCATAACAGTCACTATCATGTTTTTAATTTAGATTATCAAAGTTTAGAAAGGCAAACATCACCTGTTTATTTAGGCACACTCTATAGCCTACTTATCATTGTAATTTTGTTTCTGGTTGGTGACACTTTTATTTGTATTATTTCTGATTTGCAGGCTTGAAGCCACAAAGCAATTGGCCCTCCCTCTTTCTTACTCGGTCATCCCTACATTTGCCATGGCCTAACCCGTTAAGATAGCAATTGCTCAAGAAGACTTGGGTCACACTGAAGATCCTACAGTCACATCTCAGTAATGCCAAATTAGTTCCTGTTGGAGATGGTGGTTTTTAATTTTTCATTGAGTACCATGGCACTAATGTTCAATGTACAATCTCTGTCTTTGAGTATATGGAGTGTCAGTAAAGTTTCAACTTCTCTGCTGTTTCCAGGAATCTGCTGGGCATACATACCTTTCATAGCTGTGAAATAAAAAAGAAATCAAGCTCTTATGGGGTTCCCACTTCCCATTTCCTATTTGAGAAAGGATCATGTTTTGAAAAGGGCCTGGTCTTTGAAGTTGGGCAGGTCAAGTTTTGAGTTACGTCTCTGCTCTGTAACCTTGGATGAGTTAACTTCTGAATATCAGCTTTCTACTCTGAGAAAACACAGCAAAACAAACCTAAATACAGCAGATCTTCCTTTTCTGAAAAACAAAAACAAAAACAAAAAACAAAAAAACCCAGCAGAACCAACACAATGTTGCTGTGATGAATCAAAGCACTAAAGCATGTAAAGTGCTAATTAATATTAGCTCATAGGAGATGCTCAACCAATGTTGATTCTAAGTTTTGCTCTCTTCACACAAGCCTTGCTTCTCTCACTCTTTTTATTACATTAATTTAATAAAGATCAGTTGAGTATCTGTTACGGGATTCACTCTGTGGAAGGTCATGGGGAAAATACAAAGATGAATGACACAGTCCTGTCCCTAGGAAAAACATTCTAGTATGTTCTTTCTCAACTTTGGCTGTACCTTAGAATAACCAGAGGAGCTGTAAAGAATGTCAGTGTCGAGGACATGCCGAAGGTCAATTATGTTGGAATCTCTGGGTAGAACCCCAGGATCAGTATTTCTTAAAGTACCCTAGGTAATTCCAATGTGCATCCAAATTGAGAATCACCATTCTAGAAATAAGTCAGATGTACAGCCTAGAGTTATAAAATCCAATTCTGTTTGATACAGAGGATTCAGGGCCAATGAGATGGACAGGCTAAATCATGAAGGTTCTGGTACACCATCTTAAAGAATTTAGCTTTATCTTAAAGATTATGTAAAAGCAACATTCTGTTCATTCTTAATCAGAAAGAACATTCTGATTAAGCTTCTAGAATTACTCCTCTGGCATATATGTGAAGGCGTTGTGGTAGATGCTGCCCCACTCATATCCCTTTGGACTTTATTATTGTAGACTTCCAATAAACTGCCCAATGGCCTTTTTTGGCTGAAGAAATCCTATTCTTTCTCTGCACCAGTGTGCAGCAAACTAGCAGTATGGAAGAATTAAGCAACCAACACTCTGACTGCTGCAGTAGTCACCAGTGACTTGCAGGGGTTGATGGATAAACATCCCACACCCCTTGGGTGAGATAATTCTGGAGTATGTGGTCTATACGGTCTCCTAGAGTTTCCAAGCAAGACTTAACTGCAGTTGCCCACAGTGCTAACTAACTTGACAATGTACCTTTACTTGGATTCTTTCTTTTCTCTGTCTCATTTTCCTACTTCTATACTATACAATTTCTCAACATGGACACTATTGACATCTGGTGCTAGATAATACTTCATTGTGCAAGATTGATGTGGTAGGGGGTGCTGTGCTGTGCACTGTAGAATGTTTAGCAACATCCCTGGTCTCTATGCATTAGATGCCAGTATCACCACCCATCTGTCAAAGTTGTAATGACCAAAAACATGTCCAGATATTTCCAAATGCCTCTAGGGGAATAAATTACTCCCTATCCCTCCAGGTTTAAAACCACTGTCCTACCAGTATTTCCTGATTTCACCTCCATAATGAACTATTTATCCTTGAATTTTTGTCTCTAGATCCGCTTCTGGGGAACATAAACCAAGCAGAGAAGTTGAAGAGGGAGACACCAAGGACATGGAGATGAATTGTAGGATAATCATATCAGTCTGAGACAGAAAAGATAACAGTCTGAACCTTGAGTGAAGCTGAAGTAATGGAGATGGAGGGGTGGATTTCAGAGATTCCAAGAAGTGTAATTCACTGGGATTTGGAACCTCAGTATATATGAGAAATGAGGAAGAAAAAGAAATTTAGCATGACCTTTGTGGGGCCATTCAATGACGGGAAATTCAGAAGCAAACCAGGATTTAAAAATAAAATATATTCTTTTAGGGGATTTGTGGGAAGATGGAGGTGTTGGATTCTATTTTGTATCTTAGTTCAGAGCCGTTATTGTAATGTCAGCATTGCTCTAACTTTCCAGGAGAAAGGTTGCCTTAGATCAGTGGTTCTGAATCTTGGCTGCACAATGGGATCACCTGGGAACTTTTAAAAATCTGATACCTCAGCCCCCACACTCACAGATTTCGACTGAATTTGTCTGGGGTGTGACTTAGGCATCAGGATATATAAAGCTCCTCAGTGATTCCAATGTGCAGTCAATACTGAGAAATCCAATAAAATTAAACAAAATTAGAGGAATTGTTTAGAGAGAGGACCCCCCGCACTTCATGCACATGCACACACGCACACACACACGCACAAACACTCCTCCACCTTTTCCTACTATAAATATGGCCATGCTATTAATGGTCACCCTGTAAAATGATGCTAAAGATAATGCTTAATTAAATAGTTAAAAGTATTGAGCACCTCCTCTGTCCAGGTACTTTTCTAAGCACTTCTTATGCCTTGTCGCATTTAACCCTCACAAAAACCATGTGAGATAGTACTATTTTATACCCATTTTACAGATGAAGATATTGAGTCTTAAGGCCTTTGGCTTCGTAAAACCTTGTATGTGGTCCGGGGCTTCCTGCCTGACTCCAGAGCCCAATTTTCAGCCACAACACTAGATGGTAAGTTTAAATTCTTCTTTTTGTCTAAGACTCTCAGCTTATTGGGAAATTTAATATATGAATAAGTTTGAAGAATAAAATGCAGCATTTTACAATCTAAGTGACAACCAAAGCTTTTCTACAGGTCACACAAACCAGATGGATTCGACATGATCAGGCGAGAAAATGATGACCACCTTTCCAGGGCTAAAAATATGTTTCTATGCTCTCAATTTCACACCTAAGTCAGAGCTTATCTGAGAAAGACTAATGATTTGGATGTCATTTTATAAAGCTTTATGAGATTATGTTGTTTTATTTAACTACCTTTTTCGTAGATAAATTGATGATGATAATCGTTTTTTTTAAAGTTCTGTATACATTTGAGTAGGGGGATGCTAACAGTGAAAGTAACATCTACTCTGTTTCTCCTGACATGGTGGTTTCCAGGAGTTTACTCTATCCCATTATGCTTTTAAGTTTCTATTGTTTTTTGAAGTTCAATAACAAAGAGAATTATGAGAAAATAACTTTACTGACATTAGACATCTTACTTTGAAGCATATGACATGTGGCCTATTTACCTACTTCTCTTTGCTTTTTTATAGTATCTTTTTTCCAAGGAGTGTGAAATATTTCAAAAATATTTATTTTGCCTTCATAATATTTCTTTGATAATAAAAATGGAAAGGCATATTAGAGGGATTTAATATTTTCTTTTTATTGCGTGGATCTTAGGGAAAAAATTACCAAGTGACATTCATTCTTTAAGAAGTGTTGAGAATTATGATTTTTTTGTATACTCCTTGATTTTTTTTTAATTTTATTTTATTATTTTTATACTTTAAGTTTTACGGTACATGTGCACAACGTGCAGGTTTGTTACATATGTATACATGTGCCATGTTGGTGTGCTGCACCCATTAACTTGCCATTTAGCATTAGGTATATCTCCTAATGCTATCCCTCCCCGCTGCCCCCACCCCACAACAGGCCCCAGTGTGTGATGTTCCCTTTCCTGTGTCCATGTGTTCTCATTGTTCAATTCCCACCTATGAGTGAGAACATGCAGTGTTTGGTTTTTTGTTCTTGTGATAGTTTGCTGAACATGATGGTTTCCAGCTTCATCCATGTCCCTACAAAGGACATGAACTCATCATTTTTTATGGCTGCATAGTATTCCATGGTGTATATGTGCCACATTTTCTTAATCCAGTCTATCCTTGTTGGACATTTGAGTTGGTTCCAAGTCTTTGCTGTTGTGAATAGTGCCGCAACAAACATATGTGTGCTTGTGTCTTTATAGCAGCATGATTTATAATCCTTTGGGTATATACCCAGTAATGGGATGGCTGGGTCAAATGGTATTTCTAGTTCTAGATCCCTGAGGAATTGCCACATCGACTTCCACGATGGTTGAACTAGTTTACAGTCCCACCAACAGTGTAAAAGCGTTCCTATTTCTCCACATCCTCTCCAGCACTTGTTGTTTCCTGACTTTTTAATGATCGCCATTCTAACTGGTGTGAGATGGTATCTCATTGTGGTTTTGATTTGCATTTCTCTGATGGCCAGTGATGGTGAGCATTTTTTCATGTGTTTTTTGGCTGCATAAATGTCTTCTTTTGAGAAGTGTCTGTTCATATCCTTTGCCCACTTTTTGATGGGGTTGTTTGTTTTTTTCTTGTAAATTTGTTGGAGTTCACTGTAGATTCTGGATATTAGCCCTTTGTCAGATGAGTAGGTTGCAAAAGTTTTCTCCCATTCTGTAGGTTGCCTTTTCACTCTGATGGTAGTTTCTTTTGCTGTGCAGAAGCTCTTTAGTTTAATTAGATCCCATTTGTCAATTTTGGCTTTTGTTGCCATTGCTTTTGGTGTTTTAGACATGAAGTCCTTGCCCATGCCTATGTCCTGAATGGCCTAGGTTTTCTTCTAGGGTTTTTATGGTTTTAGGTCTAACATTTAAGTCTTTAATCCACCTTGAATTAATTTTTGTATAAGGTTTCAGGAAGGGATCCAGTTTCAGCTTTCTACATATGGCTAGCCAGTTTTCTCAGCACCATTTATTAAATAGGCAATCCTTTCCCCATTGCTTGTTTTTCTCAGGTTTGTCAAAGATCAGATAGTTGTAGATATGCAGCATTATTTCTGAGGGCTCTGTTCTGTTCCATTGGTCTACATCTCTGTTTTGGTACCAGTACCGTGTTGTTTTGGTTACTGTAGCCTTGTAGTATAGTTTGAAGTCAGGTAGTGTGATGCCTCCAGCTTTGTTCTTTTGGCTTAGGATTGACTTGGCAATGCGGACTGTTTTTTAGTTCCATATGAACTTTAAAGTAGTTTTTTCCAATTCTGTGAAGAAAGTCATTGGTAGCTTGATGGGGATGGCATTGAATCTATCAATTACCTTGGGCAGCATGGCCATTTTCACGATATTGATTCTTCCTACCCATGAGCATGGAATGTTCTTCCATTTCTTTGTATCCTCTTTTATTTCATTGAGCAGTGGTTTGTAGTTCTCCTTGAAGAGGTCCTTCACATCCCTTGTAAGTTGGATTCCTAGGTATTTTATTCTCTTTGAAGCAATTGTGAATGGGAGTTCACTCATGATTTGGCTCTCTGTTTGTCTGTTATTGGTGTATAAGAATGCTTGTGATTTTTGCACATTGATCTTGTATCCTGAGACTTTGCTGAAGTTGCTTATCAGCTTAAGGAGATTTTGGGCTGAGACGATGGGGTTTTCTAGATGTACAATCATGTCATCTGCAAACAGGGACAATTTGACTTCCTCTTTTCCTAATTGAATGCCCTTTATTTCCTTCTCCTGCCTGATTGCCCTGGCCAGAACTTCCAACACTATGTTGAATAGGAGTGGTGAGAGAGGGCATCCCTGTCTTGTGCCAGTTTTCAAAGGGAATGCTTCCAGTTTTTGCCCATTCAGTATGATATTGGCTGTGGGTTTGTCATAGATAGCTCTTATTATTTTGAGATATGTCCCATCAATACCTAATTTATTGAGAGTCTTTAGCATGAAGGGCTGTTGAATTTTGTCAAAGGCCTTTTCTGCATCTATTGAGATAATCATGTGGTTTTTGTCTTTGGTTCTGTTTATATGCTGGATTACATTTATTGATTTGCGTATATTGAACCAGCCTTGCATCCCAGGGATGAAGCCCACTTGATCATGGTGGATAAGCTTTTTGATGTGTTGCTGGATTTGGTTTGCCAGTATTTTATTGAGGATTTTTGCATCAATGTTCATCAAGGATATTGGTCTAAAATTCTCTTTTATTGTTGTGTCTCTGCCAGGCTTTGGTATCAGGATGATGCTGGCCTCATAAAATGAGTGAGGGAGGATTCCCTCTTTTTCTGTTGATTGGAATAGTTTCAGAAGGAATGGTACCAGCTCCTCCTTGTACCTCTGGTAGAATTTGGCTGTAAATCCATCTGGTCCTGGACTTTTTTTGGTTGATCAGCTATTAATTATTGCCTCAATTTCAGAGCCTGTTATTGGTCTATTCAGAGATTCAAATTCTTCCCGGTTTAGCCTTGGGAGGGTGTATGTGTCGAGGAATTTATCCATTTCTTCTAGATTTTCTAGTTTATTTGCATAGAGGTGTTTATAGTATTCTCTGATGGTAGTTTGTATTTCTGTGGGATCAGTGGTGATATCCCCTTTGTCATTTTTTATTGCATCTATTTGATTCTTCTCTCTTTTCTTCTTTATTAGTCTTGCTAGCAGTCTATCAATTTTGTTGATCTTTTCAGAAAACCAGCTCCTGGATTCATTGATTTTTTGAAGGGTTTTTTGTGTCTCTATTTCCTTCAGTTCTGCTCTGATCTTAGTTATTTCTTGCCTTCTGCTAGCTTTTGAATGTGTTTGCTCTTGCTTCTCTAGTTCTTTTAATTGTGATGTTAGGGTGTCAATTTTAGATCTTTCCTGCTTTCTCTTGTGGGCATTTAGTGCTATAAATTTCCCTCTACACACTGCTTTGAATGTGTCCCAGAGATTCTGGTATGTTGTGTCTTTGTTCTCGTTGGTTTCAAAGAACATCTTTATTTCTGCCTTCATTTTATTATGTACCCAGTAGTCATTCAGGAGCAGGTTGTTCAGTTTCCATGTAGTTGAGTGGTTTGGAGTGAGTTTCTTAATCCTGAGTTCTAGTTTGATTGCACTGTGGTCTGAGAGACAGTTTGTTATAATTTCTGTTCTTTTACGTTTGCTGAGGAGTGCTTTACTTCCAACTATGTGGTCAATTTTGGAATAGGTGTGGTGTGGTGCTGAAAAGAATGTATATTCTGTTGATTTGGGGTGGAGAGTTCTGTAGATGCCTGTTAGGTCCGCTTGGTGCATAGCTGAGTTCAATTCCTGGATATCCTTGTTAACTTTCTGTCTCATTGATCTGTCTAATGTTGACAGTGGGGTGTTAAAGTCTCCCATTAGTATTGTGTGGGAGTCTAAGTCTCTTTGTAGGTCTCTAAGGACTTGCTTTATGAATCTGGGTGCTCCTGTATTGGGTGCATTGATATTTAGGATAGTTAGTTCTTCTTGTTGAATTGATCCCTTTACTATTATGTAATGGCCTTCTTTGTCTCTTTTGATCTTTGTTGGTTTAAAGTCTGTTTTATCCGAGACTAGGATTGCAACCCCTGCCTTTTTTTGTTTTCCATTTGCTTGGTAGATCTTCCTCCATCCCTTTATTTTGAGCTTATGTGTGTCTCTGCACGTGAGATGGGTTTCCTGAATACAGCACACTGATGGGTCTTGACTCTTTATCCAATTTGCCAGTCTGTGCCTTTTCATTGGAGCATTTAGCCCATTTACATTTAAGATTAGTATTGTTATGTCTGAATTTGATCCTGTCGTTATGATGTTAGCTGGTTATTTCACTCGTTAGTTGATGCAGTTTCTTCCTAGCCTTGATGGTCTTTACAATTTGGCATGTTTTTGCAGTGGCTGGTACAAGTTGTTCCTTTCCATGTTTAGTGCTTCCTTCAGGAGCTCTTTTAGGGCAGGCCTGGTGGTGACAAAATCTCTCAGCATTTGCTTGTCTGTAAAGTATTTTATTTCTCCTTCACTTATGAAGCTTAGTTTGGCTGGATATGAAATTCTGGGTTGAAAATTCTTTTCTTTAAGAATGTTGAATATTGGCCCCCACTCTCTTCTGGCTTGTAGAGTTTCTGCCAAGAGATCCACTGTTAGTCTGATGGGCTTCCCTTTGTGGGTAACCTGACCTTTCCCTCTGGCTGCCCTTAATATTGTTTCCTTCATTTCAACTTTGGTGAATCTGACAATTATGTGTGTTGGAGTTGCTCTTCTCGAGGAGTATATTTGTGGCTTTCTCTGTATTTCCTGAATTTGAATGTTGGTCTGCCTTGCTAGATTGGGGAAGTTCTCCTGGATAATATCCTGCAGAGTGTCTTCCAACTTGGTTCCATTCTCCCCGTCACTTTCAGGTACACCAATCAGATGTAGATTTGGTCTTTTCACATAGTCCCATATTTCTTGGAGGCTTTGTTCGTTTCTTTTTATTCTTTTTTCTCTAAACTTCTCTTTACGCTTCATTTCATTCATTTCGTCTTCCATCACTGATACCCTTTCTTCCAGTTGATCGCATTGGTTACTGAGGCTTGTGCATTCGTCACGTAGTTCTCATGTCGTGGTTTTCAGCTCCATCAGGTCCTTTAAGGACTTCTCTGCATTGGTTATTCTAGTTACCCATTCATCTAATTTTTTTCCAAAGTTTTTAACTTCTTTGTCATTGGTTCGAACTTCCTCCTTTAGCTCGGAGTACTTTGATCTTCTGAAGCCTTCTTCTCTCAACTCGTCAAAGTCATTCTCCGTCCAGCTTTATTCTGTTGCTGGTGAGGAGCTGCATTCCTTTGGAGGAGGAGAGGTGCTCTGATTTTTAGAGTTTCCGATTTTTCTGCTCTGTTTTTTCCCCATTTTTGTCATTTTATCTACCTTTGGTCTTTGATCATGGTGACGTACAGATGGGGTTTTGGTGTGGATGTCCTTTCTGTTTGTTAGTTTTTCTTCTAACAGCCAGGACCTTCAGCTGCAGGTCTGTTGGAGTTTGCTGGAGGTCCACTCCAGACCCTCTTTGCCTGGGTATCAGCAGCGGTGGCTGCTGAACAGGAGATATTGGTGAACCGCAAATCCTGCTGCCTGATCGTTCCTCTGGAAGTTTTGTCTCAGAGGAGTACCCGGCCGTGTGAGGTGTCAGTCCACCCCTACTAGGGGGTGCCTCCCAGTTAGGCTACTCGGGGGTCAGGGACCCACTTGAGGAGGCAGTCTGCCTGTTCTCAGATCTCAAGCTGCATGCTGGGAGAACCACTACTCTCTTCAAAGCTGTCAGACAGGGACATTTAAGTCTGCAGAGGTTATTGCTGTCTTTTGTTTGTCTGTGCCCTGCCCCCAGAGGTGGAGCCTACAGAGGCAGGCAGGCAGGCCTGCTTGAGCTGTGGTGGGCTCCACCAAGTTCGAGCTTCCTGGCTGCTTTGTTTACCTACTCAAGCCTGGGCAATGGCGTGCGCCCCTCCCCCAGCCTCGCTGCCGCCTTGCAGTTTGATCTCAGACTGCTGTGCTAGCAATGAGCAAGGCTCTGTGGGCATAGGACCCTCTGAGCTATGTGTGGGATATAATCTCCTGGTGTGCCGTTTGTTAAGCCCATTGGAAAAGCGCAGTATTAGGGTGGGAGTGACCCGATTTTCCAGGTGCCATCTGTCACCCCTTTCTTTGACTAGGAAAGGGAATTCCTTGACCCCTTGTGCTTGCTGGGTGAGGTGATGCCTCACCCTGCTTCAGCTCATGCACGGTGTGCTGCACCCACTGTCCTGCACCCACTGTGCAGCACTCCCCAGTGAGATGAACCAGGTACCTCAGTTGGAAATGCAGAAATCACCCATCTTCTGCGTCGCTCACACTGGGAGCTGTTCCTATTTGGCCATCTTGGCTCCACCCCCGAGAATTATGATTTTTATGCTAAATTCTCTAAGCCCGGTGTCCACATTTTCTTCTGTGATACCTACATGAGCAAGTGCTGTGTACAATGCCATCATCTACTACATTGGTTTGTGGACTGAGACTACATAGGCCAAGGGTCCACACCCTTTCTACAAAGGGCCAGATAGTAAACATTTTAGGCCTTGTAGACCATACACTCTCTGCTGCAATTACTCAACAACTGTGTTACAGTGTGAAAGCAGTCACCGGCAATATATAAACAAATAAGCATGATGGCATTCCAACAGAACTTTATTCACAAAAATAGGAGATGGTTCAAATTTGGCCATCGAGGCTGTAGTTTTCCAACCCTGGCGTAAAATCATACAAGAAAGGCCCTAATCTTTGCTTCCAGTTCAAAGTACTAATTCCACTTTTCATTCATGTGTGCACTTCAAAGCTGTCAGATAGCAATCTCTAAATAAGGGTGATTAGGTTGTATAAACAAACACAGCTGGGCAAATCTTATTACTGTTATCCCAAATGACTTCAACCACCTTGCCAGTCCTTGCTTGCTTGGATTCAGCCTAATCGCACAAGCTTGAGTTAGAAGGATAACCTAAGTGAAGTTTGGGCGTGGCTTGCTGCCCAACAGCAATATGCTTAAGATATTTAAAACAAGGAAAGCAGACGATTTTCAAGGTCCTTTCACTTCCAACATTCCAGGGTATGTCTAAGGCCATCTACTCATTCATCACAGAAAAGGACCTATGGCCAAAAATGTGGCCTTTGAGGTGACCACACTCAGAACATAACTAAGTTCTGCTGGTCACTAATTTAATGTTAATAAAAACAATGGTTACCTTATACTGAGCATTATAATCTGTCTTTTTTTCTCACATAAACCTTATTGATGTCTCTGAAGTAAGATCCTCTTATCCCTTTACAGTTAAGACCACTGAAGTTTAGTTTCACCAAAATCACTCAACTAGTGAGTGGTGGAATTAGTATTCAGACCCACGTGTTCTGACTGCAAAACTTGTATTCTTTCTACTTGAAAAGCTCCCTCCCCACATAGTGCTCTGATAGCAATAATAGTATCAGCATTATGAACAAAAATAGCTAATTGAGAGTTACAAGGTGCCTGGCACTATTCTAATTTCTTTATAGGTGTGAATTCATTTACCTCTTCCACAGGCCTACCAAGTATGTCCTCTTGCCATTCCCGTTTTCTAGCTGGGAGGCACAGATAATGACCCAAATAACCAATCTCAAGGCAATTCCTAGAGTTGGAAAGCACCATTCAGTCCAAGTGGAAACAGCCTACACAGGAAACACTCCCTTTATTTTCCAGTGTCACAAAAGAAAGAAAAACCACTGAGATCTAGAGAAGCAGTTATGTCCCAGCCTGGCTTTGCATTCTAACTGCATCCTTCCTTTCTCTACTCACCCTTTCACGTCAGTTCATTTTGTGCTGATAAATTCTACTCTCCCTGGAGTCTTTAATATGCTGTCTGGTGAATCTCACACCAAAACTATACATTTTGGAGATCTCACGTGGACAACAGAGACAGAAAATAGATCTGTCTTTCTGTCAAGACATCAGATAAACCAATTACTTCCTTCTGCCTCTTCCTTCATATTGCTCTGCAAAAAGCCACACAACAATGGCACCAGAGAAACTCACGTGGTGCTCTAGAGCCCAGGTATTCACCACATGCAAGGCAGATACCACAAAAGGAGAAGGGGGAAAAAGGGCTATACAAATCATCAGCCATGTCAAGTACCTTTAACTATGAACATGGAGGTGCCTTTTCAAAATGTCTCCATAGGGAGATTTTTTTTGTTTTTTGTTTTGTTTGTTTTTGCTGTTGCTGTGGTAAATGATGATAACATCAAGTTTAAATCTGCTAGGATTTGAATGTATGTGTCCCTCTAAAATTCATGTTGGAACTTAAATCCTAAGCAATGGTATTAAGCAGTGGGGCCTTTTGAGAAGTGATTAAATCATAAGGATTCTACCCTTGTGAGTGGAATTAATGCCCTTATAAAAGAGTCTTCAGAGAGCTGTCTGGTGTTTCCATCTCTTCTGCCATATGAGGACACAGCAACATTCCAAGCACCATCTTGGAATCAGAGAGAAGCCCTCACCAGACACTAAATCTGCCAGTGCCTTGATTTCTGACTTCCCAGCCTCCAAAACTGTGGAAATAAATTTCTATAACGTATTGATAAATAACCCAATCTAAGATATTTTATTATAGCAGCCATGAATGAACTAAGACAAAATCTAATCCCTGCCATGAAAGAAACTAAGTGTCCTGTGTACCCTCTCTCAGGAGGGGGATTGTGAGGGGACAAAAGTTACCCATCATCTCTTCTCAAATTTTCTACTGCCCACCCTTCTTGCATTCATTCTGATGATCTTTCCATGTCTGAGTATAAGAGCTGCAAAGCTTGGAATTGCCAGATTAACTGGGACTGCTTGTTGTGAACTAATGGATAATTAGACTTAAATGGCAGCTATGGGTTAGGTACCATCCCCACAACATAGCTACAAGGTTACAATACCAATGTCAGATAAAATGCTGCTTCACAAACAGGTATTTTAATTTTCTTAACTTTTTACCTTTAAATAATTTTAGACTTAGAGAAGAATTCCTAAAATACTATAGAGAGTTTCTCTCAGTATAGAATAGTATAGAAACCTTCGCTCAGTTTCCTCTAATGATTATATTTGCATAGCCATGGTACAGTTATCAAAACCAGGAAATTAACATTGATACAAAGCTATTAACTAATCGTATTAGTTCATTTTCATGCTGCTGGTAAAGACATGCCTGAGACTGGGAAGAAAAAGAGGTTTAATTGGACCTACAGTTCCACATGGCTGGGGAGGCCTCAGAATCATGGCCGGAGGTGAAAAGCACTTCTTACATGGTGGTGGCAAGAGGAAATGAGGAAGATACAAAAGCAGAATCCTCTGATAAAACCATCAGATCTCATGAGACTTATTCACTACCGTAAGAACAGCATGTGGGAAACTACCCCCATGATTCAAATTAACTCCCACCAGGTCCCTCCCATGACATGTGGGAATAATGGGGGTAAAATTCAAGATGATATTTGGGTGGGGAAAAAGAGCCAAACCATATCATTCTGACCCTGTCCCCTCCAAATCTCATGTCCTCACATTTCAAAACCAATCATGCCTTCCCAACAGTCTCCCAAAGTCTTAACTCATTTCAGCATTAACTCAAAAGTCCATAGTCCAAAGTATTATCTGAGACAAGGCAAGTTCCTTCCACCTATGAGTGTGTAAAATCAAAAGCAAGTTAGTTACTTCCTAGATGCAATGGGGATACAGGCATTGGGTAAATACAGCCATTCCAAATGTGGGAAATTGGACAAAACAAAGGGGCTACCGGCCCCATGCAAGTCCAAAATCCAACAGGGCAGTCATATCTTAAAGCTCCAAAATGATCTCCTTTGAGGCTATGTCTTGCATCTGGGTCACAGTGAGGCAAGAGGTGGGTTCCCATGGTCTTGGGCAGCTCCGCCCCTGTGGCTTTGCAGGGTACAGCCTCTCTCCCAGCTACTTTCACAGGCTGGCATTGAGTGTCTGTGGCTTTTCCAGGTGCTCTGTGCAGGCTATTGGTGGATCTACCATTCTGGGGTCTGGAGGACGGTGGCCCTCTTCTTACAGCTCCACTAGGTGGTGCCCCAGTAGGGACTCTGTGTGGGGGCTCCCACCCCACATTTCCCTTCCACACTGCCCTAGCAGAGGTTCTCCATGGGTGCCCTGCCCCTGCAGCAAACTTCTGCCCGGGCATCCAGGCGTTTCCATACATCTTCTGAAATCTAGGCGGAGGTTCCCAAACCTCAATTCTTGACTTCTATGCTCTTACAGGCTCGACACCACATGGAAGTTGCCAAGGCTTGAGGCTTGCAGCCTCTGAAGCCACAACCCGAGGTCTATGTTGGCCCCTTTCAGCCAAAGCTGGAGCAGCTGGGATGCAGGGCTCCAAGTCCCTAGGCTGCACACAGCACGGGGAACCTGGGCCTGGCCCACAAAACCATTTTCTCCTAGGCCTCCTGGCCTGTAATGGGAGGGGCTGCCCTGTCAGAGGTGAAGACCTCTGACATGCCCTGGAAAAATTTTTCCCATTTTCTTGGGGATTAACATTTGGCTCCTCGTTACTTATGCAAATTTCTGCAGACAGCTCGAATTTCTCCTCAGAAAATGGGGTTTTCTTTTCTATTGCATTATCAGGCTGCAAATTTTCCAAACTTTTTTGCTGTTTCCCTTTTAAAACTGAATGCTTTTAATAGCATCCAAGTCACCTCCTGAATGCTTTGCTGCTCAGAAATTTCTTCCACCAAATACCCTAAATAATCTTTCTCAAGTTCAAAGTTCCACAAATCTCTAGGGCTGGTGCAAAATGCCACCAGTCTCTTTGCTAAAACATAACAAGAGTCACCTTTGCTCCAGTTTCCAACAAGTTCCTTATCTCCATCTGAGACCACCTCAGCCTGGACCTTATTGTCCATATCCCTATTAGGCTTTTGGTCAAAGCCATTCAACAAGTCTCTAGTAAGTTCCAAACTTTCCCACATTTTCCTGTCTTCTTCTGAGCCCTCCAAACTGTCCCAACCTCTGCCTGTTACCCAGTTCCAACATCACTTCCACATTTTTTGGTATCTTTTCAGCAACGCCCCACTCTACTGGTATCAATTTACTGTATTAGTCCATTTTTAAACTGCTGGTAAAGACATACCCCAGACTGGGAAGAAAAAGAGGGTTTAATTAGACTTACAGTTCCACATGGCTGGGGAGGCCTCAGAATCATGGCAGGAGGCAAAAGGCACTTCTTACATGGCAGCGGCAAGAGAAAATGAGGAAGATGCAAAAGTGGAAACCCCTGATAAAACCATCTGATCTCATGAGACTTATTCACTACCACGAGAACAGCATGGGGTAAACTGCCCCCGTAATTCAAATTATCTCCCACTGGGTCCCTCCCACAACACGTGGGAATTATGGGAGTACAATTCAAGATGCACACAGAACCATACCATATCACTAACCTACAGGTCTTTTGTGACTTTCTCCAGTTTCCCCACTAATGTTCTTTTCCTGTTCCTGGTTCCCACATTAAATTTAGGTTTTTTTTCTCTTGAATCTCTGCCAATCTGTGATACAGGAAGGTTAAATGGCATGCCAAAGGCTATACAGTTATTAGTAGAACTGAGGTTTTTGAACCCAGAGATATCTTTATGAAAACCACATGTTTAATCATTATACTGCTGTCCTAGGTTTCCTTTTGGACATCAAGTGGACTGTACATGATTTAAAAATAAATGTCTAAGTTTTGTGCCTTTGAGAGTTCAAAAATTTATTTGTTTTAGCAGGTACCATTATATTAACTAATATATGGGGCCTCTTTGGGTCAGTATAGTAGTACAGAGTTATACTACTAGGTTAATGATATAGTATGGAGTTAGCCCAAGACTATGCTATACCTGACAAAAGAAAGCAACATAAGTGTACTTGTCCTTTAATTTAGGCCCTTGCTTTTACATACCTTCATTTATCTTTGATTGTCTTAAGAACTAAGCAATTGTTACAAATATAAATTTGAAATAAATTCACTTTTCAAAATAAAATAGATGTCACAAAATACTTTTATAAAATGGTGGAGAGGGTAGAGTAGATGTTGTGTATTAGGAAATCCAATATACTTATTAAGAAGTATCTTATAATTTCATAAAAGGGAAATCACTACTTTAGCACATCATTAATGCCAAACATTTTCAAGACTTTCTATTGTGTATGTCTCTTAAGTCCCATATCAGCACATTGGATTATTAAATTGGAAGTTGGAATCATTAATCAACAAAATGAAGTTAGAGCTAGGAAATTTGCATGGGAGCCAATTAGAGCATAGCCTGTGGGATACAATATAATAAAAATTCAGCCTTGGGATGTGGCACCAAACAGAACATTTTCCTAGCAGAAGCACTCTACTAGAGGTGACTTCTTCATTTCTAGCATCATGTTTTGTCAAGGATTTGGAGAAACAGTCCAATATGCTATACGAGAGTATTTTTTTTTTAAACTTTACCTGTATGAACATACGGGCCTTTCATTTTCCAAATCAAACTTGGTTGTAGACCAAGCGCTTAATGAAGTACAAGGAAAAGCATTTGAAAAAATTTACCTGAATAAAGTATCTGTGAAATTGCATTTTTTCTTTCCTCTTTTCAGCCTTCCATTTCTCTCCAGAGAATAAGAGGCCAATAACATGTGCCCTCAGCCTGTTCATAGGCTGTTTGGAGTGCAGATATCCCTCGACATTCAGCAACTATGGGTAGGTGGGATGAGATGTAGGTATCAAAGATGCTGAGGCAGGCTGGCGCTGGCAAACTTATTTACAATTGGATGAAAGGCAGGGATGATTTCACTTGTCTTGGTGGCCCTGGACCTAGCAGAGATCATGACAGGCTTGCTTCGTGTACTGGTGTGGCAACCATGAAAATATGCCTCTTACATCTCCAACTGCAGAGAGTGATAGCACCAGCCTCTGCACTCTAAAAGCCATCACTATACTTTATAAGAAGGGGTTCATTGTCCACTGCTGCTGATTCCTGAACTTCACTTTAAAAAATATCACTCATCACTTTTTTCATTGTCCACTGCTGCTGATTCCTGAACTTCACTTTTAAAAATATCACTCATCACTTATGCCAAAATTTTTGTTGAAATTTGGTTACTAATTCCATTTTCCATAATACAAATCAGTTGCTCTTGCCAATTTTTGAAACTTTTGCTTTTAAATATATTTCAATGGGTTCAAAAGCCAGTAAACGTTTGCATTTTAAAGACTTTTTCATTTTAAAAATATTTAATGTCAATGCTTTCTATACATGTTTATGATAATATTTTTTATAAGTGATACATCATTTGGGGTAATAAAGTTACATAATGCTGGAAATTTTTCCACACATTTATTTGAAAATGCTTTCTACATAAAATATCTCTTTGGTAAATCAGTTACTTTTGCACACTTTGCTAAAATGTTAATATGTACTTTGAAGAGAGACACATTGGTGCGTTAATTTTGTTTAAATCTTCTAAGTAGCCAACTATTAGCAGCCACCCTGTTGTTAATGCAAAACTGCCACTCTTTGCCAGAAAACTAGGACACTAACTTTCTTATGAAAGAAAAATACATTATAAATCGTGAAGTTGATAATGATTTTCAGTACTTTGCCATAAGATAACCAGAAAATTCTACAGTAAAAACAGAATGTTACATTTTATTACAAAGCCTTATAAAGATTCTACAGTTTAAAGCTTTTGTTTTTATAAAAGAAAACTTGATGACATCTGGTAGTACATAAATTGCAGTAAATCACAATGTGCCAGTGCTGAATAAAAGATCAATCCCTCCACATTTTGATATTCCCTTTGTCCTTCAGGTTATCTAATGGGCTGGCTATGATCATGTGACATATGATTGAATGAGCATGCCAGTGTTAATGTTTATACAAAATGTTAGTAGTGCCTAATATGTTATATAGATGAAAATAACACAAATTGATCTCATATGCTTCCCTGTATCCTTATTATGGGAATTATAGCCGGAGTGGTAAGCATCTTACTGGCTGGTGGTTAAGGAGGTTTTCAGTCTTGGTAAGCGAGGAGTTTGGGTTTTACCATGCATGCAGGAACTGGAGACAGGTCTTCAATTTATGAAAGGTAGGCAATAAAAGCCAAAATTCAGCTGCACGTGGTGACTCACGTCTGTAATCCCAGCACTTTGGGAGGCAGACGTGGGTGGATCACGAGGTCAAGACATTGAGACCATCCTGGCCAACATGGTGAAACCCCGTCTCTACTAAAAGTACAAAAATTAGCTGGGCATGGTGGCACGCGTCTGTAGTCCCAGCTACTTGGGAGGCTGAGGCAGGAGAATTGCTTGAACCTGGGAGGCGGAGGTTGCAGTGAGTAGAGATTGTGCCACTGCACTCCAGCCTGGCAACAGAGCAAGACTCTGTACCCACACTCCTCCCTAAAAAAATTCTTGCATAAAGTCAAGGTTCTCAAAGAGTTGCATGTATAGACCAAGAGTTGAAAAGTTCCATCCATTAGCATATGGCAACAAAGAAACTTCTCTGCTCATGAATGGGTTTTGGGTAGAAACAGAAATGTCTCCCTTTCCGTTCTATAATTATGGCTCTATGTCTCACATGATTAACGGTTAGAATTTAAACTGTTTGGGATCAGGAATGTCTGAGCTGAAAAATTAACACAGAACTTGAGTCTAGGCCAGTGATAGTGTTAAGACATCTGCAAGGAGCAAATATAAAATTGCTCTGGATGGGTATGCCCTCCTCCCAAGCAACAGGGGTTTCCAACAGATAAGCCACCCCTGAACGTGAGTTTACGATGGTGTTAAATGTTTTCCAATTATCCCTCCAGGTTTGCTCTCCATCCTTCTTTACCCTGCTTTTCCCACAACAGACTAACCTCTATCTACTGCGTCACCTGGGTTTCCTGTCTTCTCACTGGGTTCAGCTAGTGGGAGGTAATGCAGGAGATTGAGGGACAGAAGAATAGCAAGATCATGATATTTGTTCCCTTAGCTACATCCATGCAGGGCCACTGGTTGGCAGTGTCTGCTTTCCTCTAGTAAGGCATGTGTCTTGTCAGGCTACCCTTTCTTTCAGTTATGGGTCTGATAATCACTCCCTCCCTGTGCCATTCAGGCTTAGGGATAGCAATAGCTCCATGTTTTACCATCTTTTGGCTGCTCTTAGCCCTGGCCATACCTTTATAAATAATTTTGTGTTAAACTCTCCACAATTACTCTATTTGATGAAGCATCTTCTTCCTGCCCGAAATTTGACTGATATACTATTGATAATTTTAAAAGTGAATATTAATGATAAAAATTGAGGACAAAACCTACCATGAGCCAAGAGTTCACAGACCTAACAAATAGGATAATTAGAACTCAAAGAATGTCAATACTAAAACAATTTATTGGACAGTATAAAAATATATATTTAATTAAAAACTAAAGAAGCAATAAAAATTAGAAAAAGAACAAGATACTATGAAAGAAGAACAGACATTTGAAAAGTAACCAAATATAATTTCATGGAGAGATGAAGAGACGTAAAATATGAAAGAGGGGTTAAGAGACATTGAGAGATTGGCAGAGAGGCAATATATGCAGAATAATAGCTGAGAACTTTTCATAATGGATTACAGACATAATTCCTAAAATTTAAAAAATATAACATGTCTTGAGTAGAATAAACCCATATCCAGACATATCTAGTGAATCCAGAATAAAATAAACCCGTACCTACACATATCTAGTGAAACTGCAGACAAAGAAACAAACAGAACATTTTAGAAGCAGTCAAAAAGAAAAGCCAGGTTATTCATAATACCAATAATAAGACAGACAGTCGACTTTGCAACAGCAGTAATATAGACCAAGTAACATTGGAATAATATCTTCAAAATAATTAGAGAAATTAACTGTCATTGATAATTTTATATTCAGCTAAAAATACCATTCAAATTCAGGGGAAAATGAAAACTTTGAAAAAGTGATTCATTTCTTACATAACATTTATGTTATAAAACTGACTTAATAAAAGAAAATGTAACTACTAAAGAAATAGAATCAATAATCTAAAATCTATTTACAAAATGAACACCAGGCCCAGATTGTTTTACAGGCAAGTTTTGCCTAAAATGCAAATAACCTAAAAGAAACATGGGCAAAACATGATGTATTAGTCCATTTTCATGCTGCTGATAAAGACATACCAAAGAGTGGGAAGAAAAAGAGGGTTTAATTGGACTTACAGTTCCACATGGCTGGGGAGACCTCAGAATCATGGCAGGAGGCAAAAGTCACTTCTTACATGGCGGCAGCAAGAGGAAATGAGGAAGATGCAAAAGCAGAAATCCCTGATAAAACCATCAGATCTCATGAGATTTATTTACTACCATGAGAGTAGTATGGGGGAAGCCGCCCCCATGATTCAAATTATCTCCCACTGGGTCCCTCCCACAACACATGGGAATTATGGGAGTACAATTCAAGATGATATTTGGGTGGGGACACAGAGCCCAACCACATCACATTAATAGATAACCCAGAGAAACAAAATTCACAGTGGCTAATAAACCATATGGAAAATTATGATCAGAGAAATGCAAATGAAAACAATAATGAAATATCATTCTGCCAGTCTCAGGTTGGCAAAAATTAAATCTGAAAACATCAAATGTTGGCAAGAGTTGAACATAAACAGGAATTCAAAGGCTTTAATGATAGACTATAAACTGGTTTATTTACTTTGGGCAACATTTTTGCAATAGTTAATAAAGATTCAGATAAACATACACATTAGGTAATTTTATTCCTAAAAACTTGTACACATGTGTACAATAAAACAAACACGAGATAATTTAGTGGAACATTAGAGATGATCTAATCCTCCCTCCATGAAATAATGGATAACTGTAATATTCAGAAAATAGATCTTGTAAATAGTGAAGATGCATGAACTAGGTCTGCATACATTACAGAACAAAATGTTGAAGAAGCAAGGCACACAATATGTATCACTATATCATTTATATAAGAAGTTAAAAACACACAAGCAATAATGTAATTTACCTATGGATTTATGCTTATGTGGTTAAAGTTAAAAACATACATAAAACAAACCATATCAACTTCAGGAGGAGAGGGAAGAGATCAAGTGGTTACAGCTGTATCTGTAACACTTTAGTAAAAGTAGAGACAGGAAAAAAGTACAACATTCTACTTGTTTAATCTTGGTGTAGTTATAAGAGTATATGATTTTCTATACTTTAACTGTATGTTTGAAAAATGCTTGATATTTCAAGACAAAATAAAGCTACTATGTTCTTATAAATCACCAAAATATTTTTCTTAAGCATTACATTCTTATTATCTTCTTTACACCAGTAGCAAAGGACTACTGTTTGGCTGTGTCCCCACCCAAAATCTCAACTTGAATTGTAATAATCCCCACATGTCAACAGCAGGACCAGGTGGAAATAATTGAATTATGGGGGGTGGTTTCCCTCATACTGTTCTTGTGATAGTGAGTGAGTTCTCACGAGATCTGATGGTTTTATAAGAGGCTTCCCCCTTTCCCTCTGCTCTTATTCTCTTCCCTGCCGCCCTGTGAGGTGGTGCCTTCTGCCGTGGTTGTAAGTTTCCTGAGGCCTCCCCAGCCATGTGGAACTGTGAGTCAATTAAACCTCTTTCCTTTATAAATTACCCAATCTCGGGTATTTCTTCATAGCAGCGTGAGAACAGGCTAATATGAGTAGAATAGCCAAATCTATTTCTAAGCAATTTTACTATACATTAAATTTATATGACCTACACTGGTATTCAAAGCTGTGTGTTACACCTGCTTCCTACCCTCTGGGATATAAGTAGGGGTAGAAATGGTTTGCCTTGAATTTGTAGATGAGCATCTGACAATAAATGTTTCCTGTGAGACTATGCCACCTGCTTGCTGTATAGCCTGTTAACAAGCAGAAAGGAGGCCACTGAGTCACCATATTTCCACTTTCCCCCTTGAGACACTCCTTGCTCTTATTTATTCTGTTCTGGCTGCTGGATTTCTATCCCTTTCCTCTTCTGTGAAAGTACTGGCTGGTGATGCTAATTTGAGAGAAGAAAATGTAGGAGAAAAACCACCTGCAGCCAAAGGAACTATATGAGTTCTTATGAACTCATTATTATACATAAAAGTTAGAAATGTTGATTGAACTCAGCTCATTGCATTTCTATTTCTAACTTTTTCAACACTAAAGAGCCTGCTCCATGCACACGTTGGCAGTTTCAAACTGCACTGAAGGATTGCTATATCCCAGGAGGGAACATTGGCAGTTGTTTCTGGGAACCTGTTGAAATTCAAAACTGAGTATGAATAAAGGCTTGGACCACTGAGTGAGAAAGAGCCTTGAACAGTCTGTTTCATTATACAATGAAAGGTATTTGCTTTAAGGCAATAAAAGTATTCAACTGTGGATATGATTGGGAAAAGAAAACATTTACAACCAGGTGGTCTCATTTAAAAAATGCAGTCCACAAATTTGTTCAGTGTCTTTCTAGATACTGGCAAGAGACACAGAAGGAAGAAATTGAATACATCAAATATTACATGTAGGCTCTGCCACTCAAGTACTTTTAAATCCAGATAAGGAAAGAGGGCACATGTATATAAAACAGAAGAACAGGCAGAAAATTCTGATGACATTCTCATGTTTGCATGTCTTGATCTCCAACTTGCCAGCAAGCTTGTTCCAAACAGCAAATATATATTGGGCACCTATTATGTGCCAAGTGTTGAGAGAAGCACAGGAGACATAAAATCAAGTCAGACAAGGTCGTTGCCTTCATCTACAGGTAGAGAAAGAACACTTAAATAATGATTCTAATATTAGGTGAAATGTGCTATAAGAGAGGACCATTGCAGCACAGGAGAGGGACTCAGGGTGGACAGAATCTTGGGACATGAATAACTGTTAGCCAGGCAAATCAGTGGTTCATAGAAGATTATTCTAGGCACAATTAAAAGCATGAGCTAAAGGTTTTGAGGGGTGGAACATCATGAAGTTTGAAAGCGAATCAAGTCCTTTTTGTTCTTTCACCTGAACTTTAAACAGTGGCTCTTAAAACAGGAAATAGAATGCTCTGAAACACTTTGTGTAAAATATTTGTGTTTCCATTCAGAATTTACTCTCCCTCTTATTCCTGAAATTGCATGCAAAATGTGAGGAAGGGAACAAAGGGATAAGGACAGCTACCAGTTTTTTTGCTTGTTTCTTGGCTCTTCAGTGCCTAGCTCATTGTCTGGGATGGATAGATGGATGGATTGATGAATGGACAGAAAGAAGACAGAAATTTTGTACACACACACATATCTATATATATGTCTATCTGTCTAGAAGGCTTGTTGAATTGAGTGAACCACTAACTAACAAATACAAATTAAATTGTGTTATTTACTTCAGTTCATGGAGGTGGGATAGGTTGTTTGATTTTCTAAGTCCTCCCACCTTTACATCTAAAGGCTTTATGACATTGAAAATTAGGAGATACCAGGTTGATAGGGTCAGATGTTATATCAGTGAACAGGGAAAGGGAATTCCCCTTCCATCATCAGCTTAAATGTATGCTGGGCTTCCTACAGAAATGTAAACTTATTATATGTATTGACTGCTGTCAATGCCAAGTATTTAGAACTGTTAAGTTTATTACTTTCAAATTTCATCCTGTGCTATGGTGCCTGAGGCAAGTTAGGAACAGACACCAAGGTGGTGATGCTTCACTCTCACCCACCATAATTAAAAAGTTTTCAATGACTTCTCCACACTCTTGATCCCATGGGAGAAAAATAATTTCTTTTTCACACAGAGGTTAAATATATTATTAGATATGTTGACAATGATATATATAAGATCTCTTCCACAGAGTAAAAGAAATCTTTCACTTCCCACATTTTGCCTTCTTCATCATTAATATAATGTGTTCTGTCCCAAATCTTCATTTTTGCCTCTCTCCTCAAATAACATTCTCTGGTGGACAAAACTTACTTCAGTGAACGTGGTCTTTGAGTTTCATACTCTAAATACTGATAATTTTTGGCCCCCAAACTGGTTTTGGTTTCCAATTGCTGTTAAAAGTGGCACATCATAAAATATCATGAGTTTCAGGTCTCTAGAAGGCAGAAAAGTCGTAAAAGCAATAGAAAGAACCTGGTATAAGTGAAACTAATTTTTAAAAAGAAGATATGTATGTATATACAGATACTCCTCGATTTATGATGGGGTTATGTCCCATAACACTTACAGTAGCCTATGTTTGGACAAAATCATCTAACACAAAGCTTATTTTATAATAAAGTGTTGACTATCTCATGGTTGTTTATCCTTGTGATCACATGGCTGACTGGGAACTGCCCAACATTGCAAGAACGAATCCTACCACTTATTGTGAGCCAGGGAAAAGATCAAAATTCAAAATTAAAGGTATGGTTTCTACTGAATGTCTATTACTTTCTCACCATTATAAAGTCGAAAAATAGTAAGCCAAGGACCGCCTGTATATATAAATATATATGTGTGTGTATATATATATGTATGTATGTGTCTTAATCATGGGTAACTTGTAATCCTCAGCTATAGCCTTTTGTTCTCAAAAAAGTAAAAGGATCCTCAAAAAGAGGGGCAATGTTAGGAAAAGCCTGCTTGCATTAGAGCTAACAGGAATCCACACGACCCGTTAGGAAGTCTTTTTCTGTAGATAAGCATCAATCAAGAGACAGAAATCACACCAGTAATTTTAACAGAGAGAATTTAATATGAAGAATTGTTAACTAGGTATAGTGTTAACTACACAACTGAAAAGGTTAAAAGAGAAAACGCTAAGGTACTGTAGTTGCGGGAAGCAGCTGTTATCTCTGAAGGAACAAAGAGAAGAGGTTAGGATTGTACCATTTTAGAAGTCTGGGAGAGAAGGGGCCCATGGAGTTAGAACTCCGAGCCCTGAGAAAGGCACACTGCCTGGTGGTTGCTGGTGTCTCAGGGTGGTGGTGGAGCAAAATAAGGCTGACTCTGAATGTGTTGAAAAAGTGAAAACTGACTTCAGGTGCTGTTAAAGGACGGCCTGGCCACTGCCAGAGTAAAGATGTGAGGCTGGGTTGATGGCAATATGAAACAGGAATCCAACGGGAAGCCCATGGGAAGCAAACAGTAAGTGGACAGGAAAAACCAAGGCTCTCTCCCTTATCTGGACTAACGATCAGCTTCTGGCGACCGCTAGTGACAGAGCCAAAGAGGCTGCAGCTGGCAAAGTAGAAATGTGTGGTGCAGAGTTCAAGCCCTAGCATCACAGAGCAGGAAACAGAAGGGCAAGTTTGGAGCTGGATAACAATACTTTAATAATTGGCACTTAAGTTTGCAGAAGAAACCCCATCTACAATGTGGGTTGGTTGTGAAATTAAAGTACTGTCTGACTGAGAACCCAAAAGGCGACCATTCTGGATGGCCGTGCTGATTGACTCATCATCTAATGGTCCCTAATGATTTATTTGAGCCAAACCCCAAACCCCTTGCTAGTGATTTGTATAAAAACGAGTTTTTCATATTTTATGTTTAGCCTAAAAATTCTATATGCCCTTCAGCAAATTAAGTAGTTCAGTGCCAGTATTTTTAATAAGCCACAGTCACTGGCGTTAGGGCTCGAATCCAAAGGCCAGACAAATGTGGGCCTCTTATGCCTGCTTCATATCAAAAGCAGAAGTGAAAGAATTTTTGAAAAGTGTAATAAAGTCACTTAAAATGGGAAAAAACCTAAGCAAAACACAACAAGAAAAGGAGCAAGATAAGTTTGGTTGTTTTCACTGCTCAATCAACATTATTCTGGGGGTCCTAGCCAGTGCATTTAGACAAGAAAAAATAAATAAGATGTATGAATATAAGAAACTGTCGTAATTCACAGTTTATATCATTATTCACCTAGAAAGGCCAATTCAATCAACTCAAACCCTAATATAACATTAGAGTTCAGTAAGTAAGCTAGATGTAAGATTAACATACACCAATCAATAGCTTTGCTTTAAACTAGCCAAAACCAGTTAGAAAATGTGGTAATTAACAAAAAAAATTACAGAGTTTATTCACAGCACTATTGGAAACTTTGAAATACTATATTAAAATTAAGTAAATTCTTTAGCAGAGATATATTCTCTGGGGTCCCTAAGAATCATTTGTGTGTTTTCAATTCTAGTATCATCTGTAAAAGCAATATAAATGCATTCTGTATCATCTATATCAGGGGTTAGTCAATTACAGGCCATGGGCCAAATCCTGGATGTGGTTGGTTTTGTAAACAAAGTTTTATTAGAACACAATCATACTCATTCATTCATACACATATTGTGTGCGACTGTGTTTGCACTACGTTTTCAGAATTGAGTAGTTGCAACAGACACACTTTTGCCCACCAAGTGGAAAATATTTATTCTCTGGCCCCTTATAGAAAATATTTACTGACCACTGATCTGTAGGATTACATTATAAATGAGCCCAGTCCGTATTTGCATTTGTGTCCCTAATCACACTGGTACTAGAAGTGACTATATTTAACTCTTAACATGCTGGCTGATAAGCAGATCTGTTTCCAGGTTGGAATTCCTACATCAAAATGGGACCCATCTTCTGACCACACTGTGCTCTTGTTTAACAGTGAAAAGGCCAGAACTTATCTCTTGCAGTTATAATTTACATGTATAACACTTTCATGGAATAAGACTTGCTTTGTAATTTATTTAGTAAGTTGAAAGTTGTTTGATATAATCAAATTATCGTAGTAAAGATTAGTAATATACTACTTTAATTGTCATGGGCTAAAGAGAAATGTACCAAAGAGGACTTAAGGCAAAAATGATATGTTTTTACCCAGTAATGTCAGAGTGTGTGTCCATGAAAATGTTTTCCAGTAGAGTTATTAGAAAATCCTCAGGAGACTTGAGTCCTTGCATGGCTCTCTCTAGCACAGGTAGAACAAACTCAAAAGGTATCCTAATGATAATCACCATTGTTGCCCTATGGTCAGTTGGGATGTGATTATTTCATTTTTTTGTACTCAACAAAGGATTTATTTTCAGTAACTATAACAGTAAATATGCAATAAATAATTGTTAAGTTGCCTTTTTACATAACTGTATTTTGTTTTTTACTATTAATTAGCTTAAAATGGTACAGAACTGATTATTGTAAACACATTTGTTGTGAAAAAGGAAACTTAGCATTAATGATAATGACTAGGACTCAAGTCAAGGCCCACTATCTTTAAAATAAAGTAAAATAAAATCATGTTGAACAATAGCATACTACAAAACATCTGAGTGCATCTTTACAAATAAGATGTATGTTTCAACAAAGTTACATCATATATTAACTTAATGTTGTTCAATTAAAATTTTCTAGCAGTTTGAGTTTGATTTTTGACTTAATGGTCTCCAGAACTGTGGGAAAATAAATTTCTGTTGTTTTAAACCACCACGTTTGTGGTCGTTTGTTAATAACGGCCCTAGGAAACTAATAAATAGCTCTTCTCAGACAACGTTTGCTGGCCCCCGATTTAGATATTTTTTGGTAGACCAGAGTTTCTAGTATAATCATCACAATCTGCCAATTGATCTCAAAGCCTTTTCTGGTAGACCTTTATCATTGTCCCCCCACCCCATTCTCACCAACACATAAACATGCACAATATGCGCATGCACACACACACACACACACACACACACACACACACTCCACAGACCTGTGTGGGGAGGGTAGGATAGCCAGTAGTAGCCTCCACACATTCCTTCTCATTGTCTCCAGCCCAGATAGCTTCAATTATCAAGTTAGGCCCCCACACTTATCACCCCAAAGCCCAACCCAGAGGCTTTGAGTGGGGGGAAAAAACAAAAAACAAAAACAGCAGCTAGCTAGGCGATCCTTGGTCTATTTTTTCTTTAAAGGGTAGAGTACACAATATAGTATAATGATCACAATGTTATGGATTTTTTTGGGTGTGTACAGTCTAGAAAGTGTTGTGTAAAATTAAAAAGAAAAGGTGACATACATTAAAACAAATCACCCACCAGCAGCTAAAGCAATGGCTCAAAAAGCTCTGAAAATTTTAACTGGTTTACTATGCCTGTGTAATTTTCTTTTAATGACTACTTAGAGGGCAAAGGAAGAACAGAGATTGGGGCTTCTAAAAGAGTATTCTCAACGATTCCCTTAATAGCTGACTATTACCAATAAAGCTATAGGCAGCTTTAGCCAACATGAAATTATAATGTTAGTAGATAAAAATAGTTACCATAGTTAATTTTCTCCCACTGGAAAAAATTTCAACTGCCTACAGCTATCCCTCATAGGGGTTTTGTAACAAAGCACATAGGCATGGTTTTATCTGATAACTTCAGGATGCTGTGGCATCAATGAAAATTAAGTTGGAGTTGTTAAAATACACTGTCAGGGAACTTGATGTTGCTAGAGCTGATATCCCTATACCCATTTTTTTTTCTTAAAAGAAAAAAAAGGTATCTCTCTTAAGGTGTGTAAGCATTCAGTGATGAATGGAAGGAATTGACAATACAGACTCCTAACTCCTGATACCAGCAAACCTCTGTTTTGTGCAACTTCAGAGCAGTGAAATTTCCCTTCAATGTAATTGACAACTTATTTGAGGTAAAAATGACAAAAGAAAAAAATCCTGGTTTAAAACTGAGTTGTGATCATTTTTTTTTACTCCATCAAGAAGTTTACTAAGTGATGGCAACTGGAGGATCATGGATGTTTTTCAAGTATGTGTTTGATTCAGCACAAGGTTCCTATAATGGAGAGTTACTGACACCAGGCTATATATTTATTATTATTAAAAACTGGTGAAGATATTCTACTGTGAGGTCACTCAGGATATAATCACTGCTTTCAGAGTGGTTTAATTCAACCATTTGAAATTTGGCTGATGAATTTATATTTTGTCACAAATAATAATGCAATTTGTTTTTGTCTAATAACCTCATTTACATTTTCACATTGCTAGAAGCCTACAGACCTTATTTTTAATGTTTTTCTGATAACATAAGTAACAAATGTTCATTGTTGAAAATATGTGAAAAATTCAAAAAGCCCAAAGATTAAAATAAATCATGATGCATACTATAACCCCTGAGTTTAACATGCAGACAGATCTACTTCCAGTTTTTCTGTAGACAATATAAACATATATTCATAACATGCACTTTAAATTTTATATGCGTACAATGTATGTGTATGTGCAAACTTTTAAAGTAAAACTAGATGTATATTTTACATGCCACTTTGCAACCTACCACTTTTCTTTCCTTCTTTTTTTTTTTTAGCCGGATGAAATCTTGTTTATTCTGAAACATAATTGGTCAACAATAAACATATGATTTTAGAACCTTTCTTGTTTGAATGGCAGGAATGAGTGAAAGATTAGGAGGCCATTGTGTGGGAGGAAGGAGTAAAAGAGTAGGAAATAAGAAAGGCTGGAAAGAATCAAAGATGAGCTGGGGTTACTTAACTTTTTTGAGTGAGGTGAGGCATATTTTCTTTCAACTGGATTTGGGCCAACAGGCCCTGCTCCAAGTCCTTTGGCCCTGTGTAGCTGAGGGGTAGGAGATGATAAGCTTTGAGCCAGCTTGGCTTTGAGTGGCAGACCAAATACTGAGTGATGTTTTCTCCAAAACACAGCAGAGTTTCTTAAGAAAAACTTGATTCTAAGAGAATTAATGACTACAAGTGTCAGAGTTATTTAAATCTCCACACAATAGATAAAGATAAGGGAGCACCAAGTAAATAATACACTCATCTTCCAAAATGTCAGCATTTGCTCTATATAGCAGTTCATCATTTTAAGGTAGGAGTCATCTAAATGGAAATGGGTGGTTTGATAATGATTTATTATGAACTTCTAAGAGCAGAGAAATATTTTAGGGTCCTTATTAGAAGACAGGTATCCTACTTGGCAGTAGAATGGGAAAAGCTATTGGGTCACGTGATAATCCAACAGCAAATCATTGAATTTGGATTTTTATTGAGATCTTTTAGCATCTTTCTCATCCTCAAATTTGCACCTCTGGAGCCTCAGGTGGCAGTGTTTTCTATCTTTTTTTTTTTCTTTTTAGTTTCTTTTCCTTCTAGTTTCCATATTTGTAATCTGTTTCATTTTTTACATTTTGTTTTGAAAAACATGAAGAACCAAGTTCCTACTGGACAAAACAAAAACGAAAACAGGCAAATAGAAGAGAACAAACACAATTATCTGGTCCTTTTCATTTGGAAATCGGTCATTCATGGCAATCAGTATCTGTACATGAACTTATCAGAAAAGGAAAACAGATCTGTATTTTTCAAGGACTTTTATCAACCACATAACTAAATACTTGTAAATTTTAACTATATTTAGTATTCTCTTTTTTTCTCACATAAGTAATTAAGAATATGTTCCTTGTATTCGTCCAACTTTTTTTTGAAAGTTCAAAAAGATTTCCCCATATTCTTACCTCATTATCAAAGGTTTTTTTTTTCCTTCTTTTTAAAATTTAATTTTAAGTTCGAGGATCCATGTGTAGGATGTGCAGGTTTGTTACATAGGTAAACGTGTGCCATGGTGGTTTACTGCATCTATCAACCCATTGCCTTGGTATTAAGCCCAGTATGCATTAGCTATTTATCCTGATGCTCCCCCTCCCCCTACCCCCTGACAGGGGGCATTTGGGTTGATTTTATGTCTTTGCTATTGTGAATAGTACTGCAATGAACATACGTGTACATGTATCTTTATAATATGATGATTTATATTATTTTGGGTAATCAAATGGTATTTCTGGTTCTATGTCTTTGAGGAATTGCCACACTGTCTTCCACAATGGTTGAACTAATTTACATACTCACCAACAGTGTAAAAGCATTCCTATTTCTCCACAGCCTTGCCAGCATCTGCTGTTTCTTGACTTTTTAATAATCAACATTCTGACTGGCATGAGATGGTATCTCATTGTGGTTTTGATGTGCATTTCTCTGATGTTGAGCTTTTTTCATATGTTTGTTGGCTGCATAAATGTCTTCTTTTGAGAAGTGTCTGTTCATGTCCTTTGCCTACTTTTTAATGGTTTTTTTTCTTATAAATTTAAGTTCCTTGTAGATTCTGGATATTAGACTTCCATCAGATGGATAGATTTCAAAATTTTTCTCCCACTCTTTAGGTAGGTTGTCTCTTCACCCTGATGACAGTTTATTTTGCTGCACAGAAGCTCTTTAGTTTAATCAGATCCCATTTGTCAATTTTTGCTTTTGTTGCAATTGCTTTTGGTGTTTTCATCATGAAATCTTTGCCCATGCCTATGTACTAAATGTATTACCTAGATTTTCTTCTAGGGTTTTTATAGTTTTGGGTTTTACATTTAAGTCTTTAATCCATCTTGCATTAATTTTTGTATAAGGTGTAAGGAAGTGGTCCAGTTTCAATTTTCTGCATATGGCTAGCCAGTTTTCCCAGCACCATTTATTAAATAGGTAATCCTTTCCTCAATGCTTGTTTTTGTCAGGTTTGTTGAAGGTCAGATCATTGTAGATATGTGGTCTTATTTCTGAGATCTCTATTCTGTTCTATTGGTCTATGTGTCTGTTTTTGTACCAGTACCATGCTGTTTTGGTTACTGTGGCCTTGTAATATAGTTTGAAGTCTGGTAGTTTGATGCCTCCGGCTTTATTCTTTTTGCTTAGTATTGTCTTGGCTATATGGGCTCTTTTTTGGTTCCAGATGAATTTTAAAATTTTTTTCTAATTCTGTGAAGAATGTCAATGGTAGTTTAATGGAAATAGCATTGAATCTATAAATTACTTTGGGCACTATGGCCATTTTCATGATATTGATTCTTCCTATCCATGAGCATGGAATGTTTTTCCATTTGTTTGTGTCTTCTCTTATTTCCTTGAACAGTGGATTGATCCTACCACTTTTCACTCAACATGATATTGCTAACATTTTTCATGACACTGAATATTCTCTACAATTTCAACTTGTATTTCTTTCTAGTAGTTCATTATATGACCATATCATAATTACCTTAACCAAGTCCCTATTGTGGAAAATTTAGGTTATTTCCAATTTTTTCCAATTATAAACAGGGCTCTGCGAATATGTTGATGTTGTATCTTTGTGCACAATCATGGCTATTTAGGAGAAATTTCTAGAAGCAGAATTGCTGAATCAATTGATGTGTACATTTTGAGTTTAACTGAACTCAAAAATCCTTTAAATATTTATTCTCCATGGGTACTTTTTTAAAAAGGTTTCTTTTCATCGAAGTTTTCGGGTCAAGATACAGAACATTTCTAGCCCTCCAGAAGGCTTTTTGGTTCCTACCAATCTGTACCCACCATACATACACATCCCAAAAGTAACCACTGTTCTAACTTCTATCACTACAGACCAGTTTGCCTATTCTTTAACTTTATATAAACAGAATCATAAAATATGTATTCTGTGTATGGCTTCTTGCATCAATTATGTCTGTGAGATTCATCCATGTTGTGTACGTATCAGTAATTTGTTCTTTATAATTGCTATATATTAGTCCATTGTACGAATGTGTTTAAAATACCACCATTTATATATCCATTCTCCAGTTAATGGACATTTGGGTTGTTTCCTGTTTGGGGCTATTATTAATAAAGTTGTTATAAACCTTCTTATAAGTGTCTTTCCTGGGCATTTACACTCATTTCTCTTGGAATTACTGGATCACAGAGTAGGTGTAGGTTTAGAAATATGTCTTCTTAATTGAGGGCAGAAAATCATGTGAGGAAAGGAAAAATTAACCTCCTGAGTATAGGAATGGATGCTAGCAGGTGCCAACAGAGAGGGAGAGCTGGTCCAGACCACCTCTGTTGTCCTGGGCACTGAAGCAGCCAGGAAGGTGGATCATAGTGATAAAGTATTCAGGAGCTTGGCCAATAATACCATTACAAAAAAACTCCCCAGGCCAATTTTAAGGCTGGCAATTCCCTCTAAAATGTGTATTTCCTTCAGAGGCAGGAAGAAAAATAAACAAGACTAGCAGGTATGGAAATTTGGAACAGACTCCCTACAGTGGCAGCTGAGGTCCTCTGAGTTACTTCTGTCTCAAGACAAGTGCACTTTAATACTCTTCTTCCATAAATATGAAAGAAGAAAAGCTCTACAGTAATGTAAGATGCTGTTTTTCTAGGAGTCTTATAATACTATGCAAAGTGCTGATTCATGACAAGATAAGAAGCTTGCATCAGAATGTAAATCAGTGCACTGCTTACCTTATCAAGAAGATCTTCATATCAAAAAAAGTTAGATGAATTAAATAATGTGCTTACTGACATAGTTGATTTACATGGTGGCACAAGCTTCTTATCTCATCACAGATCAATAAGAGTTCACTAATAGGCAGCTGAACTCCAGACCACGTGGACTTTGGAGTAATATGATCTGCGTTCAAATACTCACTGTGCCACTTACCATGTGACCTTCCATACATTTCTTTCTTAAAGTTTAGTTTCCTCATCTGTAAAATAGGAATGATAATAGTACCTACACATGGGGGCCTATGAGGAATCTGAGTGCACACATGGAAAGTGCTTGTTTTTGGCACAAAATAAATGGTTCTGTTTGCATATGCAATCAGACTCTATGAAATGTGGTTGGCTCCAGAGTGCACTTCAGCATCTGAGCTCCAGTGTTTCCCTGTGCAGTACAGGCCCTGCAAGAAATGGATGAGAATACCATTTCCAAAATTGCTAAGCAATCATAATACCTTCCTACAAGAATAAATTTCATGTTCTGTATAGAGCATTAAGCATTGCTTTGCCATCTCATTTGAGAAAATATGTCACCAAATTAGCATATGCCTTCTCCTTATCTCTCTGCATTAAGTCGATTTATTTACATGTCTTTCTCTCCCACCATTGGGATTGTGAATTCCTCAAGGGTAAAGGCTTGGACTAATTTTCTTAGTATTTCTTGCATGTCTGGCACATGGTAGAGTTAACGCATTTTTATTGAACGTGTGGAATGTCAGGTACCTGACATTAACTAGGGACATGAGACAGTACAATCCTTTATCTATTATAATTAGGCTGACCTTTCCAGGTGAATAAGTAATTTCTTTGCATTGTTTAGCCAACCCTGAATTACAATTGTTGGTATTTGACAATTAATTAGGATATGCTAATGTTAAAATGTAAGCACTATCAGGTGTGTGTCAAACAAAAGATAGATGGGAAGCCAGAAGTGATATATGACATATCCAATTTCATAAGGTCATTCAACATTTAGAATCCCCTACTGCTGCTTTCTCTACAACCAAGCAGAATTTTGATCATCTATTTTTGCATTATTTGAAGACAGCATAAAGTTCGGTGAAGATTCTTGTCTAAAATATATTCCTCAGTAAAAGGTGATCTATCCCACCCAATTTATTAACCTCCTTACGTTCTTTTGGCCTCTTATGCCTTGCTGATCCTTGGTGAAGTGCTTCATTGAGAGGCCCACTGCTCTCCTGTTTGCTTCATCTCCCAATACCTCAGTCTCATTCACAGTAAGGGTACTGCTCTGGAATGGGCTTATCACACAAACGTTGAGCAGCTTCAGTGTCCAAACAGACTGAACTCACAAGCCCTGACTTGTCACACAACTTCAGAACTCAGCTGAGGGCTGTACCTTGGGGTATGGGACCTGGGAAAGTTAATGCTCTGTGGGACAGGCATTATGGGGAAGCTAACAAATAACCTTTTCTCCCTTCCTCATCACCGGTAGACTGCTCCATTAAGTCTGTCCAGTGAACAGACCAGCTGCATTTTCTTGTGAAGCTGTGGCCAGCTTGGTAATATCCAGTGCTATGCTTGGAAAGTGTTTAAAAACTGACTCTCTAGACAAAAGTAAAGCCCTGATTTGTAGTATTTGCCAATTTCCGTGGCATAAATATTTCCACCATGGCCAATTTTAAACAATCAAGGTGATGTCACTGGACATGGATTTGGAAAGAGATACACACAATTGGCTCTGGTGACAACTGCAGCACAGCCCTGGTGACACTTCACTCTTCTTGCCTTTTCTCATGTCCTGGTTTACTTCCTTTTTCCCCCTACTTTTGCTGCCCTGGGATTGTACCCATACAGATTGCATATGGTCTATGACATATAGCTCGTAGACTGCTGCAGAACCTAAGCTAAAATGAGAAGCTTGTGATTACTATTTCTGCATTATATCTATATAGCTGATCCAATTATTTCTTCTTCATTGTGAAAATTTTCAAGTTGAAAAATCTGACCCAAAGATATACAGAAATATCCCTTGTAGGATACAGAGCAAATAGTTGACAACGAGGAACTGTGAACCAAACGGGATAAAATGCATGCGGAGAGGAAAATTTCCATCAAATGCTAAGTTTTAATCCAGAGTCTGTCTCCCTGCTGCTATCAATATTATATTATTAAATAGTTGATTAATAGAGATAGTTCCTTTTTGCTTCATGGAATAAAAATTGAAGACTTCATGGTGGGTTTTTTTAAGTGTCAGGGGAAAGGAAGGGTGAAAACAAAGGGTTATGTGGACTTCGGGGACCAAAAAAATGGAAGAAAATTAGAATATTTGATGATGTTTTGAGGAGTGGATTCTATTGGTGCCCTACCCAGACCCCCTTTACCAATGGGCTCACCCAGTCCCCAGCTGCTGTGAGTGTTGGTTGCTTGTCTTCCAAAGCGACTTTCTTCTCCTGAGCATTGTCTTCCAAAGAATGGCCATCTGGCCAGGAAGGTTATGCTCAAACCCTGGCACTAGTCAGAGGCCAGTGACTGACACACACAGGTGTACAAATGGTTGGCCCACTTACCTCAACATGAAAATAAATTTGTAATCTCAATGAGTGCTCCTCATTGAGATTAAGCAGACCTTAATCTCCATCACATCCTTGTTTAGCTTTCTCCTCCAATCCATCCTGCTTCCCTTACTTCCCTTGTCTTGAGAACACTTGCTCAATAAATGACATTCACAAGCATTTCTGTCTTAGGTTCTGCTCCTAGGAAACCCGACTTAAGACATTTTGTATTTAAGGTTTTCTTTACTTAAGATTGAAGAGCTCATCACAATATAGTCTCTCTTTATCAGAGTGTACTTATGAAGGAGAAAGACAAAGATAAGTTGATAACATGTCTGGGCTAAGCTTGATCTTTGAAAGTATTTTTCTCAGTCTTTAGGGTAGAATCAAAGGTGGTGCCATTCATCTGTAGAGGGTGCCAGTGTTTCAAAGACATGTAAATAGATAGATCTATCTTAACTTGACAAGCAGATTATATAATCGATTAGGAAGGTGGCATTAGCATTTCAGATAGAGAGGTTAAATGGCTTACTCAAAGTCTTTTGCCTTAACTAGATAGCAAAACATAACTTTTTTATAAGAAATGAAGCTGGAAACTGGTCCATTGGATTGAAACACTGACTTGCTGCCTATTTTTACTAGCTCCCTCCCTGTCTTGCTGCCTACCTCTGTAGTCATGATGTGGGACTTGCTAATATCCAGCTGCCTAGAATTCCTTGACTTGCTAATTTATAATAATAATAATGAATACCACATCTGGGCCAGATTCTCTTTATTTAATCCTCACAAGAAATTGATGGCAAAAGTATTATTATAAAAATTATTAACAAAATTCAAATCATCTAGCAAGTGTTTGGCAATCAGAAATTTAACACTAGTTAACATCTCCTTAGGTATTTACCCTTATCTGTTTAAAATAACTAGCAGGGAGATGTAAGCAATAAGAGAATGCTGTGCTGGTCTGTTGTTTGCCCTCGGATCTATTCTTTGGCCTCTTCCTACTCTTCCCTGTATCAAAAGGTGTTGAACTCCACAGACTGCATTTCCCAGTCTGTCACATGTCAGATGGCTTCCAAACTGGATTTGGTCAATAGGAGGCACTGATGGGAGATTGAAGGGCTGGAGGGAGAAGCCAAGGTATTTCTCCCCTCCCTCCTCACCTTGCTTTTCTGGCAATAGTCATGTGTCATCCATAGTCATGGATTCTTCTAAATAGATCTACTAAGGCTTCAGTTTCCACCAGCTGATCCCAACTCCTGAGCACTCATAAGCCACCTCCTTCCTCTGTGCTTCCAGCCTACGGGTGGCTTCCTACCATTGTTAATCCATGAGTTGCCCCACTATTATATGTTTGGCTTCTGCTCTCTCAACATCTATATAACCTATTCCCTGCATTAAAATCCCTCTGTTGAAATGCTTGAGTGGTTTCTGCATGTTGGCTAGTCTCTGACCAATATGGATGCAAATCACACATCATAATCTATAGCAGTACTGTCAAACACAATAGGTACTAGCCCAAATTGAGATGGGCTATATGTGTAAAATATACACTGGATTCTGAGTAGTTAGTGTGAAAAAAAAAAGAATGTAAAATATTTCAAGAATTTATTGATTTTATATTGATAATCTAGATATATTGGGTTGAATAAAATACGTTATTAAAATTATTTTTACCTTTTTCTGTTTTCTTTCTTTAATGTGGCTACTAGGAAATTTAAAATTACATATGTAGCTTGCATCTGTTTCTTGAATTCTATTTCTGTTGGATAGATATCTGTAGAATCATGCATCCTATGTAGCCTATGTGTATGACTTTGAGTTTGGCCTTATAGATTGAGCAAGTGAATTTAGCTGGAAGGGTATGATCTGATGGACAATACTGAGAAAGTATTGCCTGCTCAGAGATTAGAGCTGTCTAGAAGGAGAACTGGGAAAGTGAATAGAATATGCAAATCCAGAGGAAAAAGACAAATATTTTCCTCATCAGCAGCACCTTGGTGGCCAAGTAGAGCCCTGAAGTAGAACTGCTAGTAGACAAAGCTGATGCAAACGACAGTTGAGAGGCCAGCAGTCTGAGGTTACAATTTGATAGTGTCAAATAAAAAACAAATTCAGACTTAGTAAGGATAGGCTTTCTTCAAAAGGGTTATTGCAAGGCAGAAAAAGGGACTATTGTAATAGGGAGGATGCTCTGCTCTGGCCATAAGGTCTGCAAGTGTCTCAAGGCTTAGGCAAAAAGGGTTTTTCTTTTTCTTATTTATTTATTTATTCATTCACTCATTTGGTGGCTCAAACTGAAAATGAGCCGAAGTTTCAGGACCAGGGGTGAGAAAGAAGTTGGACCGAAGCTTGCTTAACAAGCCTCTGGTTTTGATTGATCAGTGGAACAAGCAGTTCAGCTAATCATGTATGAGACAAAGAATGGGAATGTACAGGGTCTGTGTCTGGCCTTCTCACAGGTAAACAAGGAGACACCCATGGCCCTTACCTAAGTCATATGGGGAAAGATAGTTATTTGCAGTAAGCCAGTTTCTGAAACACAAAGGAGTGGGGGTGTTTCTTTAACTGGCACTATTTCCCAGGGTCACACGGGTAAGGTTAAGTTCAACATTGCTGATAGCTTATCAAAAACTGAGTTCAGTGGCTTTGTTTTCCTGCCCCCAAACCTACTTCTTTCTCCTCTAGTTACTGGTGTCTCCGTCCCCAAGATGCCCAGGTACAAAACCTCAACCATCATACACACCTCTTCTCTTTCTGGCCCCTCATCTATCTGCTCAGCCTGCAGGTCTGGAGGAGTATCTTCCTCCCCAAGGTTGCTTCTGTCTGCCATTCTGTACCTAGGTTGCCCTGCCCAGGCCCTTATCACCAGGGTCTTATTACCTCACACTCATTTGCTACAGCAGGTTCCTATTGGGTCTCCCTGCCTCCTGCCAGAGCACATCTGCAGCTGAAGTTCAGTCACACCCTGTCTTTGAACAAGCCCTTAGCAGCTCTGCAATGCCTGCAGGTTAACACTCAAACTTCCCACCTCACTTCTGAAGCCCACCCACAAGGTGGCCTGAGACCTCCCATGCCTCTAGATACAAGCTCCATCCAACTATCTACTTAAGTCTGAACATTCCGTGAGCTTTTCTATCCGTAATCCATTCCTTCCCTTGTTCAGTCTAACTGAGATGACTTTCCACCCCTTCTTCCCATTTGTGACTGCTGAAATCCAATCTTTCCTTTAGGTGTAGCTCTAGAGCTGCCAGCCATATCCATGCAGCTCAGTGTTTCTCTCTGGCTTACATTATTTTCTCCATTTTTTTCTGTGTTTACATAGCATTTTGTTTGTATATGGTGGTCTGCTTGGGTTTCTAATTTAATGATTTGCATTTTTAGTGATGTGTAAACATACACATCTCCCCTGCAATTTGTAAATTCCTTGAAAGTAGGGATGTGTCTCAGTGATCTGTGAGTTGTCTCAGACTGGCACAGTCAGTGACCCTTGTTAAGCAATTGAATTACATTTTAACAGATACTTTTGAAATGGCCTAACTTTATATAGATGTTTTTGTGTTACATATTAAGAACCAAAACAACAACAAAAACACCTCCTTAAAAGTTTGCCAACATTTGTGAACCCCTGGGGTAAGAGCAAGCACATTTAATTCCTTTTAAATACAGTTTAAGTACAAAATGGAAGGTTTACAACTGTTTGTGACCAATTCTTTTTGATAAAAGAGGATGGAAGGGAAAAAAGTTTACAGGATTAAGGAAATTAATTTTCCACCTATCTAGAACAATCAAATATCCAAACTTTGTACTATCTGGAGATATATATATATAGAGAGAGAGAGAGAGCGAGAGCGAGAGAGCGCCCTATTGAGTAGTTTTTGTAATAGTGGGGGAAAAATACTACAATTTAAATCTATCCTGTCAAACTCCTTTAATGTTAAACTGTAAACAAATCTTTATTGAAGTCAGTCTCACAGCACTGACCACTTTCAGTTTAGAGCTTAGATTATCTTTCAGAAAATGAAGCTGGAGGTTGTGTTGACATAAAGGAAATGTCATTTGTGAAATCCCTGCATTAACTGAGCTCTTCTGGGAAGTGACTTCTGCTGGATCTCAGAGGCAAATGTCTGTCTTTGGAGGACGCACACATTTATGTCATGTCACAAAGTCCCTTAACAGTAAGTGGCTGAGGATGCCTTCAAGTAATATTTTTAAAAGAATCACCGCAGAAGAAGGATACAATCAACATAATAAACTCTTAGGGTCTAATAAAGACAAAGATGACAAACCCAGCCTCCTCTATCAAATAACAGACATCAGCTTATAGAGTTTAATTCGATATATGGATGAAGTTGTATGCTTACAGATTCATTACTTTGGACAAAATAAGGTGACATATTTTTCTACTATGATAATCTAGTATTGAATACAAAGCAATTTTTATGGGATTTTTTTTCTCACTGATTTTAGGAATCATTGTAGAAATTTTCAGAAAATCAAGAAAAGCATAAATAAAAAATGACTTGTAACCCCATCTCTCAAAAAGAATTCTATTCATATTTTGGAGCATATAATTTCAGTCTTTTTCCTATGCAAATATGCACTTTAAAAAATAATAACAGTATTGTAACTGCCATTTTGTTGTTTTATGTTGGCTTCCCACTTAAAGCAATGGTTCTCAGCCCTGCCTGTACTTTAGAATCCCTGGCGGGTTTGAAAAACATAGAGGAGTTGTAAATACCTCATGAAGAGTCTTGTGAATACGTAATGAAGAGTCCTGTCTTGGACCAGACATTCTTAACCTTGGCTGCACATTAGAATCCCCTGGGGAGGTTTTACAAGTTCCCATGCCCCAGCCACACCCAGACCAATTGTATCAGAATCTCTGGGGTTGGAACCCCAGTAATTTTTTTTAAGTTCCCAGGTGATTCCAACAGATGGCCAAGGTTAAAAACCTTGGCTTTGGGGTGGTGGGTTACACATCAATCAATCAGGCTTTCTTAAAATTCTCTCAGATGGTGGGCTCAATGGCATGCACCTATAGTCTCAGGTACTTGGCAGACTGAGACGGGAGGGTTGGCTTGAGCCCAGGAGTTTGAGATCAGCCTGGGCAACATAGTAAGAACTTGCCTCAAAAAAAAAAAGTTTCTCAGGTGATTTTCACATATTCTTAGGGTGGAAAATCCTATACCCAGAACTTAAAATTCACTTGGTACCATTTTAAGCTGTGACTGTACCTAGCTAGGGGCCACCTAGGTAGGTGTCATAAGTAGGTCCATCTGCTTGTTCTCCCTTTGGTCTAGGGTGGCCCATAATTCAGTTCACTGTCCTAAGATATCAGAAGATTTTAAGGAGTGGGTGTAGTGAATGCACAGAAAAAGCCGGCCTAGCCTAGCAGGAATATGGTGTAACAATAAAATCAACTAATTAGTTCATGCTGCTTCTTGGTAGAGAGCAGTGATTCTCAATTTTGGATGCATAATAGATTCCCTGGGCCTATAATAATCCTGATGTCCAGGCTGCACCCCAGACTACTTAAATCCAAAACTTTGAGGAGGGGAACTTAGGCATAAGTAATGTTCAAACTCCCAAACAATTCCAAGGATATGTACAGTCAGGATGGAGACTCACTAATTTAGACCAGGGCTTCTTTTTTTAAATTTTTTTATTATTATACTTTAAGTTCTAGGGTACATGTGCACAATGTGCAGGTTTGTTACATAGGTATACATGTGCCATGTTTGCTGTACCCATTAACTCATCATTTATATTAGGTATTTCTCCTAATGCTATCCCTCCCCCTGCCCTCTACCCCACAATAGGCCCCTGTGTGTGATGTTCCCCACCCTGTGTCCAAGTGTTCTCATTGTTCAAATCCCACCTGTAAGTGAGAACATGCGGTGTTTGGTTTTCTGTCCTTGTGATAGTTTGCTCAGAATGATGGTTTCCAGCTTCATCCATGTCCCTGCAAAGGACATAAACTCATCCTTTTTTATGGCTGCATAGTATTCCATGGTGTATATGTGCCACATTTTCTTAATCCAGTCTATCATTGATGGACATTTGGGTTGGTTCCAAGTTTTTGCTATTGTGAATAGTGCCACAATAAACATACATGTGCATGTGTCTTTATAGTAGCATGATTTATAATCCTTTGGGTATATACCCAGTAATGGGATGGCTGGGTCAAATGGTATTTCTAGTTCTAGATCCTTGAGGAATTGCCACATTGTCTTCCACAATGGTTGAACTAGTTTACAGTCCCACCAACAGTGTAAAAGCATTCCTATTTCTCCACATCCTCTCTGGCATCTATCATTTCCTGACTTTTTAATGATCACCATTCTAACTGGTGTGAGATGGTATCTCACAGCTAGGTATCGTGGTTTTGATTTGCATTTCTCTGATGGCCAGTGATGATGAGCATTTTTTCATGTGTCTGTTGGCTGCATAAATGTCTTCTTTTGAGAAGTGTCTGTTCATATCCTTTGCCCACTTTTTGATGGGGTTGTTTTTTTTCTTGTAAATTTGTTTAAGTTCTTTGTAGATTCTGGATATTAGCCCTTTGTCAGATGGGTAGATGGCGAAAATTTTCTCCCGTTCTGTAGTAGACCAAGGCTTCTTAAAGGGTAATCTGCAGATGGGCAACCTCAGCAGCACCTGGACTGTGTGAGTAATGCTGACTCTCAGGCTCCACCCAAACTCTGCTGAATCAGAAACTCAGGAGTAGGGCCTGGTGATCTAAGGGATGCTGATGATCAATTTTGAGAACCACTAGTTTAGAGATTTCTAGCCAAATATTCTTTTTTTCTTTTCAATTTTCTGGTCCTTGGGTGTAAAGATCTGTGTTCATCATACTCCTCAATTTGTGTCACATGGTCATCTGTGGTGTGTTTTCTTATTTTATTTATTTTATCACCTTTAACCCCATTTAATTTTCTCAACAAGCCTGTGAGAGCAGTATATTCCCCTTTTTTATAATTTTTCATTTTTGTGGGTACTTAATAGGTGTATATATTTATGGGTTACCTTTTTTAGGGATTAGAGAAACTGAGGCTCAGGAAAGATCATTTCTAAAGCAAGATCTTCTTACTTCAGAGTCTTCAGTCTAACATTTCTGGGCTGCCTTCAAAAATTACCAGTGAAAATGCAAATGCCATGAGTCAGAGCAAATGCCTAACCTGTTAGCAGCCAACATTTCTGGGACTTAGCTGGCATTGCCTGTGAGACCACGTAGCTGGAAGGTAGGACCAAAGGCTATTTATTCAGAGCCAGTGATGGTGGAGGGTCACTCTGATGCCAAAGGAGGCACAATGGGAGCTAGGATGATGGGGGTGCCAAAGGAAGGAGAGGTGGAGGTGGGTTAGAATTTGACCCAACTCTACTTTAGATGAAGGCAGCTGTTGTTCCTGGTATCCTCAGGCCCTTGGGCATTGTATTAGTCCATTCTCACACTGCTATAAAAAAACTTCCTGGGACTGGGTAATTTATAAAGGAAAGAAGTTACTTAACATGTAACATAAAACATTTAGATAAAGTTAGACCATTTCAAAAGTGTCTGTTAAAATTTAATTCAATTGCTTAGCATGGGTCAGGGCTGACTCACAGTTCTGCCTGGCTGAGGAGGCCCCAGGAAACTTACAATCATGGCAGAAGGGGAAGCAAACACGTCCTTCTTCACATGGCGCCAGGAGAGAGAAGTACCAAGAGAAGGGGGAAGCCCCTATAAAACCATTAGATCACATGAGAACTCACTCACTATCATGAGAACAGCATGGGGGAAACCACTCTCATGATTCAGTTATCTCCACTGGTCCCATCCTTGACATGTGGGGATTATTACAATTCAAGGTGAGATTTGGGTGGGGACACAGAGCTAAACCATATCAGGCTCCCATCACAAGGCAAAATAGTGTTTTGTGTTCTCTGAGGGAAGCCTGATCTCTCTGAGGAAAGTCTTTTGGGGACATGGCTATCAAGATTTGTGGCATGTTCTGGGAGAATGGTCACTGCTAGGCAGTAGTATCATGAGCAGAGCATAAGCACTGCTGTATCAGCTGCAGTACATAGGAAGTGTACCTAAAAATGTCTGAGCAGTACTATTCAGGGGCAGTCATTCTCCTCATTAAAGGAGTCTTGGAAATGTGCTATTAAATTTGTAACTCCACCTTTGCATTAAAAATGTTGCAATTGTAGCATTTTCCTGTTTATGTTTACTTCTCAGCACTACATCCATGGCATGGCATTTTGGTAAAGAATGGTATTTCTCAAGTAGGGGATTTTAGATGTTTGGAGTTCTGATATTGGGCTTTCAGAGGAGGTAAGTCCTTCATAGCAGTTTATTAAACTTATCTTTTGGTGGTGATTTTATAATTAATTCAGACATAATATGGATTAGCAGGATAATCACCTTTAAGAAATTTGTTGAGCTCTTACTGTTTAGAGTTATCATTTTATTTTAGTAGTTGTCACAATCCAATCAAGTAAGTTCCATTGTCATCCCCATTTCAAAGATAAATGAAGTTTGCACAGAGGGGCAAACTAACCAGCTTTGAGTTAGTAAAAAGAGGAGGCACCACTAATGACTTAATCTTGCCTCTGTCTTAGTGTCTATTTCAATTGTCCCACTACTAATGAGGGAAAACAGAGACAGACTTAATAACATAGATCATCAATTACACCAGAATAAAGGCCAATTACATCCCAGTGTGCAGTATGAACAGGTGTCACAGTAGTTCAGGGAGGGAGATGTGTGGTTGGAAAATTTAATGAATCCTAAGAGAAAAGGTTTTTCTCCAAAAAGATTTAAGCAAACTGGGTGTTCAATGTCTTTGATTGCTAAAGAAATCTGCTAATAGCTGCTTGGAAGAGAAGCAGGACCTATGTCTATATTGGTTGACATTTGCTAGCTACTGTTTGGTTCCATTTACTAATTGCCTCTTTGTTGGGGGATTAAACCTTGTTACTTGCTACATCTAAGTGATAGCCACAGATAGTTGGTGTGTTGTTTACATCTCGATATATAACACTTATTACCTGTTATTTCTGATTAATGGCTCATGTTTAGCAAATATGGAAAATGGTTCTGAAGATCCTGTCCCAAAAATATTAACCCATGCCACTTGGTAAAGAAATAACCACTTTGGGGCTATGATAAGATAAGCACCATATGAAAGAAACCAGAGCCATAACTTACCAACCAAGCTGTGTGCAAAATCAGCCCCTCATATAGAGCCTATGTCTATTCCTCCTAAAGGCTTTTATTTCAAACTGGCATTCTCCATCTGCTAGTTTCCTCATTAATGAGTAATAAACTTTGGTGTTCAGATTAATTTGTTTAAGAAATTTTTGCTTCAATAATCGTCACAAGTTACATGGAAGGAAAGGAGGGCCCGACTCAAAAGAACTGACACCATGGAAGTTCACTTCTTATTCATGTTTCAAGTGGCTATTTCAGCAAAAAGGAGGGAAAATCCAATGTCAATGACACCTATGTTTTTATACTTTTAATTATTTTGTACATTTGTTTTAGTTCTCTCAGTTCATGTATTAATTGATTCATTAATTCAACAAGTGTATGACCTCAGAGAACTTAAGTTCTAGAGAGGGGAAGCCAGGCAATAAACAACAACGCTTAAGAGAAAGAAATGTGCTATGTGGAAGAATAAAGCAGAGGACAGTTTGGGTAATGGGTTCTATTTCAGACATGGTGATAAGAGAAGTTTCTTGAGAGAGATGACATTTGAGCAAAGGCTTGAATAAAGTGAGGGAGCCATGAAATGATATGGGAGAGGAACATTTCAGATAGAGAAATAAGAGTGGGAAAAAATGTACTTCAATAGAAAACTATACATTGTTTAGAGCAATGACTCCTAACTGAGGGTGGTTATGTCCTCCAGGTGACACCTGGTGATATCTGGAGATATTTTTGGTTGTCAAAACTGTTGGGTGGGGGGTGTCATTGGCATCTTGTGGGTAGAGGTCAGGGATGCCTCTCAACGTCCTCCAACATACAGGACAGTTCCCCTCTACAATCAAGAATTATACATACAGCTCATAATGTCAATGGTGCCAAGGGAAACCGGTTTAAAACACACCCTTCTGGGTTATTTGATTCTGATTTTATGGGGCTCTATGCCTTTCTTTACCTTTGAGTTATTGCACAATTCTGTTAAGTGGTATATAAGTGACAGAAATGCAAAATAATGCTGGTCTGTAGAGATGTAATAAAGTTTTTCTATGGGGGTTTAATTAACTTCCCTCCCCCAATGAGGAAAAGACTGATTTTGCCTCCATTTACAAATTCTCCCAATATCCATGATCTCTAAATGTGCCCGTTGGATTCACTTTTGAATTGGCTGTGACATCTTACTGGTTCTCTCATTGTTAATGAGTTAAATAAAATCTTTAACACATGCTCATTTAATACCTGTATGAGAGTCATTATATTTTTTGAAAATTGTTCTTTAACATAAGTAAGTACAAACACCTTGAAGAATAACCTTAGCTTTTTTTGAGAAACAGAGGAAGAAGAGAATGGAGAACATTTGAGGGAGAGTGCTATAGTGTGAATGTCTCCCCCAAAAAGCATATGTTGGAAATTTAATCTCCAATGCAATAGTATTGAGAGGTGGAGCCTAATGAGGGGTATTTAGGTCATGGGGGCTCCATCCTCACAAATGGATTAATGCTGATTATAAAAAGGCTTGAGGCTATGAGTTCAATCTCTGCCCTTTCTTGTTCTTCCACCTTCTACCATGGGATGACACAGCAAGAAGGCCCTCACAAGATGCCAGCCCCTCAATCTTAGATTTCCCAGCCTCCAGAACTGTAAGAAATAAATTTCTGTTCACTATAAATTATCCAATCAGGAGACCAATTATGAGGTGCTCCAAATAATCCAGGGAAGAGAGAATGGTGGTTTTGACCCACGAAGTATTAAGCAAGGTGATGAGATATGTTCAGATTTGGGATGGTGAATCTTGATATGTACACCCAGAGTACTTGCTGAAGCTATGTTGTCTAATTAGGTAGCCACCAATCACATGTGGGTATCAAGTACTTGCAAAGTGGCTAATTTGAAGTGAGATGTGCTATAAATGCAAAATACACACCAGATTTTGAAAATGGAGTAAGAAAAAATAATATAAAATGTCTCAGTAATATTTGTTTTTGTAGACTACATGTTGAAATTATAATATTTTGGATATTATCATTTAAATTGATTTCACCCATTTTTAAACATTTTTAAAATGTGGCTACTAGACATTTTCAAATTACCTATGTGCTCACATTATATTAGACATTCCAGTGTTGAAGAATGGCAAGGGGGCTGTTCAATTCAAGAAAGGTAAAATCTATACCTCTGAAAATTTTTAAACTGATCAAAAACATTGAAGAAAAGCAGTTGTTTCTGATCTACTTAACACTACCTAACAGTCATTCTTCCATAGTAGGGGAGGGAATTTAATTGATCTAAGTTTTTGTTTATGTATAATATAAATACATAAACACAGAAATATAAATACATGTACAGTAATAAAACGAAGGGATGCTTCAGGAATCTTGAAGAAAAAGAGGATCAGTATCTCCTTTATGTTTGAAAAGCAGGGGAAAGATAAGTAGAGTAGTAGTTAGGAAACCTGAGTTCTAGTCCTTCTTAAATATAATACTCTAGTAAACTATGACCATGGAAAAGCCACTACCTTTTCTGAATCAGTTCATGCTATCTCTTTGACCTATGTCAGAGTGTCACTGGAAGCCCTCAAGGGCAGGCACTATTATCTCATTCAGCTTTGTATTTTCCATAATAATGCCTCACATAATGAAATGATAAATGGTGGTCTTTGTTGAATCGAAGAAGATTCAAATTGTAGTCCTGTCTTTGAGAGAGTAAATCAGCTTCCTTAAGCCTCAGTTTTCTTCATCTTTAAAATAGAGATAATGTTACCAGCAGCATGTTCAAGTGGGCACCACAGTCCTCGATCCTTATCTTCTTGGGAGAAAGAATTCAGCCAAGAGACAGAAGTAGATTTAAGGCAGAAATGGGAGTTTATTGAAGCAGAGTAAAGTATACTTGATAGGGACCAGGTGGGCAAATTGAAAGATTTGAGTGCCTTGCCTGATCATTGGCTCAGGGCTCTTATAGATGTACTATTTCCTTTTTTAATACCAGTCTCTTCCTCTCATGTCTCCCTGGTCAGGCTGTTGGTTAATTGCTCCATGCGCAGGGTCTTGCCAGTATCTGGGAGGGACCGCATGCACCCTTTGGTGGTAGAAGTTATACACATGCCCTCTTAGGGCAATTTTCTCTTACTGATCTAGCGCCCCCAGTGGAAGGTCATATACAGGTCAAACTCCACCATTTTGCCCTTTACTATGAGTGACCCTTAACTGTGCATGCCTGGAAATGTTCCCAGAGAAAGGTCAAACTCTGCCATTTTAAGTTCTTATTGGGATTTTTGTTTGTTTGTTTTTGTTTTTGTTTTTTTTTCCCGAGACGGAGTCTTGCTCTATCATCCAGGCTGGAGTGCAGTGGCACGATCTCGGCTCACTGCAACCTCCACCCCCCGGGTCTTTTTTTTTTCTTTCTTTCTTTTTTTTCTGAGATGGAGTCTTGCTCTGTCGCCTAGGCTGGAGTGTAGTGGCGCGATCTCGGCTCACTGCAAGCTCCACCTCCCAGGTTCACGCCATTCTCCTGCCTCAGCCTCCCGAGTAGCTGGGACTACAGGTGCCCACCACCACACAGGGCTAATTTTTTGTATTTTTAGTAGAGATGGGGTTTCACCGTGTTAGCTAGGATGGTCTTGATCTCCTGACCTCGTGATCCGCCCGCCTCGGCCTCCCAAAGTGCTGGAATTACAGGCATGAGCCATCACACCTGGCATTCCTCAGGTTTTTTTTTTTTTTTTTTAACGCAGTTCTCCTGCCTCAGCCTCCGGAGTAGCTGGGAATACAGGCACTCGCCACCACACCCGGCTAATTGTTGTATTTTTCGTAGAGATGGGGTTTCCCCATGTTGGCCAGGCTGATAAACTGCTGACCTCGTGACCCGCCCACCTCGGCCTCCCAAAGTGCTGGGATTACAGGTATGAGCCACCGAGAAGTTGTTGCCCACAAGCTCAAGATGTCTCCTGTTTTTTAGGAAAATCTCCCCTCCCTGTCACCAGCTACCTGACAATCACCTGACGGTCACCTGACATTATTTGGGGTCCTATCCTGCCCTGCTCTTATCTGCCTATCTACCTACTCTAACAATGATAGTTGTATATGACTTATAGGGTACTTGTAAGCCTTAAATTAAAAAATTTGTGTTAAGTACTGTATCAATTTCCTAGGGCTACCATAACAAAGCACCACCAATTAGGTGGCTTAAAACAAAGGAAATTTATTCTCTCACAGTTCTGGAGCTCAGTAGTCCAAAATGAAGGTGTTGATAGGGCTATGTTCTCTCTGAATCCTCTAGGGGAGGATCCTTCCTTGCTTCTTCCACCTTCTGGTTGCCTCAGGAATTCCTTGGCTTGTGGTATAATAACTCCAATCTCTGCCTAAGTCTTCACATGGCCATCTTTCCTCTGTGTTTGTGTCCAAATTTTCCTGTTTTGATAAGGATACCAGTCATATTTGATTAGGATCCACCCTTAATCTCAACCTGATTACATCTACAAAGACCGTATTTCTAAATAAGGTCACATTCACAGGTATCAGAGTTAGGATTTCAACATATATTGGGGGTTGAAGGGACACAATTCAATCCATAACAAGTACTTTTTAGAGGACCTGGCACACAACAAATACTCATTATTGCTATTTTTAATTGTTTAGAACAGAGTTCAACAAACTACTGGCAGTGGACCAAATCAAGCCTGCAACCCATTTGTTTACACGTTATCTGTGTCTGCTTTTGTGCTTCAAGGGCAAAGTTGTGGCAGATACCATACAGCCTGCAAAGCCTAACGTATTTACTATCTGATTTTTTTTTTTTTGATGGAGTCTTGCGCTGTCACCCACCCAGGCTGGAGTGCAGTGGCGCAATCTCAGCTGATTGCAACCTCCACTTCCTGGGTTCAAGCGATTCTCCTGACTCAGCCTCCCGAGTAGCTGGGATTACAGGCACGTGCCACCACACCCAGCTAATTTTTGTATTTTTAGTAGATACGGGGTTGTGCCATGTTAGCCAGGCTGGTTTTGAACTCCTGACCTCAGGTGATCCACCTGCCTTGGCCCCCCAAAGTGCTGGGATTACAGGCGTGAACCACTGCACCTGGCCTACTATCTGATTCCTTACTCAGTAAGTTTGCTGATGCTTGGTCTAGAGTCTAATTCTTGGAAGTGTGATCCATTGCATTAGCATCACCTAGAAGCTTGTTAGAAATGCAACATCTCAGGCCCCATCTCAGATCTACTGAATCAGAACCTGAATTTTAGCAAGATCCCCTGGTAATTTGTATACACATTTATATTTGAGAATCACTGATCTAGAAATTATCTTTAAATGACTTACAATCGATTCTTGTCTGTCTTTAGTTTTTTAAAAGTTTGCTCATTTTTTTTCATTTTTGGAAAATGATAATACTTGTATGTAGTAAAAACTTCAAATATAGAGTGACAATTTATAGAATTCTTTTTAATTCCTTGTTTTTACCCCCCAAAATACCATACTGTATACATTGTTATGTACCTAGCTTTCACACATAATAACATACTTAAGACCTAGCCTCATCAATACATAAATCCAGCCCAATCCTTTGAATGGCTACATGATATTCAATTTAGCATATATACAATATTTTATTTAGTCCCCTTATAATGAATTTATAGTGAAAAAATTTTCCATTTACTGAAGTTATTTTTATGATCACTGTTTTTCTGTGGACAGCTTCAAATTTATCATTGTCTTCCAGAGTATGGTTAGTTGAAAACATACTATGCTGGATTCTTTGTAGGCCCCAAATATTGGCTCTTTCAATGAATTCATCAGAAAATTTTATAGAATCAAATATGGTAGAAATTAAAATTTGGGGGATTATGGAGGGAGTCAGAAGCAGCACAGTTCCATTCAAGTCCTTGGGCTGGGATCTTCCCGTTGCCTCTCCAGATCTATCCTGCACCTTTCTTGATGTTGCACTTTGTCATCTCCCTTCCAATTTAGCCAATGAGGAGCCCTAGCAGGATGGATTTCCCCCCCTCTTATTTCTTCTGATACTTCCAGGATTCCTGTTGAAGGTCAATGTTTTCTTCATAGGTGGGTTTTTCTATATGGTTTTCTTTTTCCAGTTTTCTGGAATCTCAATCTCACCTTATCCCTGCAGGCTTAGGAATAGAAACAACTTCCCTGCACCCAGTCCTGTGATATGTTCTCCATAGCTTTGTAAATAATCTCTTTATTGTGGCACTATTCACAATAGCAAAGACTTGGAACCAACCCAAATGTCCAACAAGGATAGACTGGATTAAGAAAATGTGGCACATATACACCATGGAATACTGTGCAGCCATAAAAAATGATGAGTTCATGTCCTTTGTAGGGACATGGATGAAATTGGAAATCATCATTCTCAGTAAACTATCGCAAGGACAAAAAAAACCAAACACCGCATGTTCTCACTCATAGGTGGGAATTGAACAATGAGAACACATGGACACAGGAAGGGGAACATCACACTCTGGCGACTGTTGTGGGGTGGGGGGAGGGGGGAGGGATAGCATTGGGAGATATACCTAATGCTAAATGACGAGTTAATGGGTGCAGCACACCAGCATGGCACATGTATACATATGTAACTAACCTGCACATTCTGCACATGTACCCTAAAACTTAAAGTATAATAATAATAAAATAAAATAAATAAAAAAATAAAAATAATAATCTCTTTGTAAACAGACTTTTTTCAAGTCATCCAAAATTGAGTTTGATTTCCTGTTGTATTGATACAATTCCCTTCCTGCTTGTACTCGCCAGCTGTGGGAAGTAGTGAATGGACCAGATTTTACATACCATACAAGTAATTACTTTGGTAATGCAGGTCGAGGAATCCTGGAAAATGTTTAGCTATCAGCTCCAAAGACATTTTATCTTTGACTCCTGAATCAGTTAGGATCTTCTGATTGCAAGTGACAGAAAGTCCAATTCCAACTGGGTTAGAACCAAAAAGGGATTAAACTGTCACAAGCAAATGAAAAGTGCAAGGATCAATTTGGCTTCAGGCTCAGCTAACTGGTAAGCCCAGGAGCAGGAGGCCTGTCACCAGCAGCTGTTACTTTGATATCTTTTTGATCTGTTCTTTATGTTGGCTTTATGCTCAGGTTCCCATAGGAGGCCAAAATGTAGGCTTCAGACCTACATTTTCCTGATTTAAGGTCAGCGGGAAAGAGAGACAGTCTTCTCCAAAAGCCTTCATAGAAGTCTGATTTCTCATTCTCACTGGCTCAACTTGGTCTTTAGCTCATCTCTGAATAAAGCCCTGGGGAAAAAAAAAAGAAAACTATTTATCAAGCACTTAATATGTGGCAAACATGGTTCTAAGCATTTCTCCCATGCGATAGGCATTATTATTGTGTCTATTTTACTGAAGAAGGTAGTGAGACATATAAAGATGATGTCCCAGAGCTAATAAGTGGTAAAGCAGAGAGTAAAACCTGGGTAGTCTTGCCCCTTTCCCAAATATAAACCACTTTACTCTTTGGGCTGTCTGGCTTGGTCCTGAGTCTCACGACCACCTCTGGAGCTGGGGTGATGTCAGCTTCACATAAACGTCTACGGATGTGAAGTAGCAGAGGAAATGTCTTCTCACTGGTTGCAATCTCTTTCCTAGTTCCAACCCTGGAATGGAAGGCTGTCTGTTCTAGGATGGCAGCCAAGCGATAGGGTTCACCTTGGGTTCTGGGAGACCATGGCAGGAGCATAATTTTCTGACAGAAACAGCCCTGTACACCAAGAGCCAGAAGGACAGAGAAAGCAAAATCCCTTGGGAAAACCAAGGATTAATAGAGGTGAAACCCAAATGCAGCAGTCAGAAGCAGCAAACAAATAGGGACCACAAAGTCTCCATCACTCAATGAATTAGTGAAGATAGCACACAAATGTCAAGTACAAAGAGTTGGATCATCAAATTTTAGACTTCTTCAGGGTTTGGGATGAGAAATTCTACACGTGGAAATCAAGTCATGACTACTTAATGTGAAGAAGAATGGATTTTGTTTTAATGGATAGAGGAAAGACTGAAGACAAATACAAACTTCAAAGTAGGAGGAATGAGTAATATAGGTGCATAGTTGCTAAGGAAACATTTTCTTAATTGGAAAAAGATGAACTTTTTTATATGCACACAAGGATCAGCCTCTGACAACACCCCCACTTTCTCCCCAACAATTTTTCTGATGTAGAGTACAAGAAAGTTCCATATTTTGGAGAAGAGATTAAACATTAATGTTTCAAGCTTGTGATGGGGAAGGATTTGAATTGTTTTATGTATAAATATGAATGGTGAAGACTAACATGAGATGTTTTCTTTTCTGACTTCAAGAGGAAGATGCCTCTCCCTGAAAGAAGCTTTAAAAATCTTTCCATTTGTGGTGTGCTTAGAGACCCTTAGCCACCATGGTCATGAACACAAGTGCTCAGAGAATTCAGATGCAAGTGCACAGCTCAGAGATGCAGAGGTGCCTTGGTCAATGATTTCAAGGGTCAATAAGGAGAAGCTTAAGAACTTTCAGTGAATAGATGCATGGAAAAAATATTCAGACTAGCTTTTGCCTGGTCTTAGCTCTATGAAATAAGCCCTCACAAAGTTCTTAGTTTAGGAGACAGAAACTGACTTCAAACACACTGTATGTGCTTTACAGCAATGATTTTTACCACTAGCTGCACTTATCCTGGGAGCGTGAATAAATGCCTAAGGCTGGGCCCCAACCCGGGTCAATGCAAACAGGATCTTTGGGAGAAGGGGTCCCAGCCTCCATGTTGTTTAGAAACTCCCCAGGTGATTCTAATGTGTGGCCCATGTGCAAACCTCTGTTTTAATTTGGGGTATGTATGTATACTTAGTAAACTGTATACCATTTTCAATAGAGTATTATCCACAATAAAGCGTCATACACAGTGAATCCAGTTAGCATTTTCATTCACTCCAGCAATCCCTGCAGGTATGGGTACTTACGGATATGTGGACTCAGTGTAAACTACTCACTCTTAGTGTCTTGGTTTTCATTCCAAGAGTGTGAAAAGTGGTGCATGTAGCACCCTCCTCCCCTTAGAGAATTCTGGGTTAATTAGATTCATTTTGATGTGAAGATGTTACTTGTTTCTTAACAGAGACCAAGGTATTAAAATATAGAAAGCCAAGTGTAGCCTTTCATTAGAGAATTAGAAAAAAAAATTCTATGTGGAGAAAAAGAAGGTATTCTGTAGATAAGTATGTTAGGCCCAGTTTCATAATTAATTGGAAATAGAAAGAGAAAAATGAACATCTTACCTCAGAAAGATCCCTTGTTGAGGTCAAAATTTTTGATGGAAGCGTTTCTGAGTGAGATAAAGTATGAGCACTGTATGCAAAGTTAGCCTTCTGGAAACTTTGGAGAGGCCAAATCCTAGGATTTTGATATTCTAAAATGGAAGACAAGAAAAAAGTCTTCTCAGGTAAGAAGTCTGAATGGGATAAGTAATATCAGAAGAGTAATCAAGAAGCTTCTTAACTTGTATGTTTGTGTTTGTACTTATCTCTTTCTCAATTTTTCTTTTTTACCTGTTTTTCAAATAGAAGTTATTATAGTACATTAGGAATGTATATTAATTTTCTTTTAAAGAGTTATATTTTTATAGAAAAGAAAAGTTAAATGACTGGATCATATGCTGGCTGGCTCTGTTGATGCCATGGGAAATAATTGGTTTGGCCATAGCTTAAGGAACTAGACATATTATGCAAAGGGCAGAGTATACAATGTAGGGCAAAGGCACATCACCAGTCCTCCAGACCAGTGTCACCATTGTACCCACAAGGAGACCAAGTTTCAGAGATTTTAAGCATATAATTTGTAAGTGCACAATTAAAATTCAGAAGTTTACCCAATTGAAGTTAGAGGGAGCACAGTCCACACACAACTACCCTCACTTCTGACACTAATGACAAATTCCGGGGGATCCAAAAACCACTTTCACATTCAATAATTTGCTAGAATGACTCAGAACTCACCAAAAGCTGCTGAACTCATGATTATGGTTTACCGCAAGGAAAATAAACAGATTAAATTCAGCCAAAGGAGGAAGCACATAGGGCAAAAATCAGAAAAAGTACCAAATGCAGAGCTTTCATTGTCCTCTCCCTATGGAGTCATGAGTAGCATTACTTTGCTTGTATCCATGGTGACAATATGTATGGAAATCTTACCAACCAGGGAAGCTCACCTAAGCTTTGGTGTCCAGAATTTTTATTGGGGCTTGATCACATATTGCCCATATGGATGACCTTTTGTTTTTGTGCTCCTCCAGAGGTAGAACTGATGTCATATGGCCCCATCATTAAACTATCTGTGACCAAGGTTCTCGGATAAAGACATTCTTATCGAGTATGACATTCCAAGGGCCTAGAGATTACCTCCTAATAGCCAAGAACAAAGGCCAGTCCTCTCTTTGGGTAAGGTTTATTTTTCACTGCACAGCAGTGGGGAATAACCAAGTTCTTTAAACTACTATAACTCTCAGGTCTTCATATTACAAATATTAATAACACTATGATATATTCTTACACATTGAGTGCTTACCAAGTGTGATGATGCCTAGAGTTGGGACTTTTACATTCATTTATGTAACTCAATCTTGAGTTATATCATTCGATTTTGTGAGGTAGGCATTATTACCTTTGATTTATGAAATGGCAGAGAGTTTGGGTAATTTGGCAGGGACTCATATGTATTAATAGAGTTAAATTCAACCTTTGTTGGTCAGACTCCAAGCCCTTTTTTAATCACAGAACTTCATGCCTTCTAGTTAGCATGCTTTGAATAAAATAATTCAGGGCAAAGTGTTGGCATAAAAATGAATTAAAAAAACAGTTATACTGAAGATGACTTCTTACATTCTATCAGCACTTAAATGTTAAAAAGATGGTTAATCACTCACTACCTTTGCCTAGGATAATACAGAAAGCTATTAGGCATTGAAATATCAGCCTTGTGGGGATATGTGAAGAAAACATAAAGGTGAAAGGATTTTTTTTTCTTCTTTTGTAAGATTTGGCATTGAGTCTTAATCATTACAAAGAAGTTGAAATCTAATCTGTCTTGAGTGGTAGACATAGTGGGCATTTGTCTCCATTTGGAATATTTCAGTATTATAATTTTCACCTACCAAACCTTTATGGGGCGAGTATAAGAATTAACAATGTGATTTGAAAGAGCTCCCAGCTATTGCTATAAAGGTGAGGAATAAGAATAAAATGTTCACAGAGAAACTACTAAATATGCATGTTGCTCAAAGGTGAATTTGTTCCACTAATTTGTGGGCTGGTAGAAATATTTTTGCTGGAGTGTCCCTTTGAATGTCACCTGAATAATACATGATCTTGTACTTTTATTGTCATCACAGTGTCTTCTGTTGCTGTGAATCTGAGAGTTTTAAAGGAATGAGATGTTTTCCATTTCTGGAAAAGAAATAGTGTGAAGAGGCAGGCTAGCAAGTTGAGTGTCCATAAGAGTAGATCAGAAATGAAGAAAGCTCATATTTTATTTAAGTGCTACTTATGGGGATGATAAAAATGCTATTAGAATGTAAGATTGACCCTTCATTCCAGGACATTCTGTCTTTTCCAGAAAAAAAAAAAAAAAGAAAAAAAAAACCACCAAGTCAAACTGAATCTCTACAATGTCCTTCAATACTCATAGCCTATGTTATAGGCCATTCTTGGAGTAAGCCAGCATCATTCTAATGAATATGACCTTGTTTTGACAGAAAATAATGTGAACCCAGATTTGCCTGTTATTTTTAAACTGGTATTAAAATGCTGTCTATTTAGATATTGATTATTTGTCCATAAACAGCCTCCTTTCTGTAAGATCGCAAAAGGAAATTGAGTGTGTATATGAAAAAATTAACTTTGATAGCCATGCTAGTTTTATGTTTTTTAACTAGTCCTATTTTCCTCAGCAATCCTAATTCCAATAATTTATGTCATGTATACACTAGCAAAAATATGAAAAGACATATGCACAAGACTATTCATTGCAGCTCTATTCATAATGGCAAAAGACTAGAAACACCCAAATGTCCATAATTAGGAGACTGATTGAATAGACTAAGGTACACCCACACAACAGAGAATAGTGCAGCTCTGAAAAGAATTGTGAGATGTCTGTAAATATTGCTTTGCAATCATTTCCAGGACATATTATCAAGTGGAAAAAAACAAGGTATAAAAAGTACATATACTGTTCTACTAACCAACTAAGAAAATAAGATTATCTATGGGGACCAGGCTCGGTGGCTCATGCCTATAATCCCAGCACTTTGGGAGGCTGAGATGGGTGGATCACGAGGTTAGGAGTTCGAGACCAGCTTGGCCAAGATGGTGAAACCCCGTCTCTACTAAAAATACAAAAATTAGTCAGATGCAGTGGTGGTCACCTGTAATCCCAACTACTCAGGAGGCTGAGGCAAGATAATCACTTCCCGGGAGGCAGAGGTTGCAGTGAGCCGAGATCGCGCCACTGCACTCTAGCCTGGGTGACAGAGCAAGACTCTGTCTCAAAAAGAAAAAAAAAAAAGATTATCTACACATATTTGTTTATAATAATAAAAACAATTAAAGGTTAAACAAAAACTTTTAAAAAGGAGAAAAAAGAGAAAAAGGATGGAAGGGACAGAAATACAAACTAGACTTCCATGATTAAGCCTTGCATTGTATATTTGACAAAAATTAAAAATAAAATAAAGATTGTGAGTTTTCCTTTTGGGGTGATGAAAATGTTCTAGAATTACCTGATCTGAAATCAGTTTCACTTGGCTGAAACCAAGATGTCAGCAGGACCACACTCCTTCTGGAGGCTGTACAGGATTGATATGGCCTGGCTATGTCCCACCCAAATCTCATCTTGACTGTAGTTCTCATAATCCCCATGTGTTGTAGGAGGGACCCAGTGGGAGGTAATTGAATCATGGGGGTGGTTACCTCCATTCTGTTCTTGTGATAGTGAGTTAGTTCTCATGAGGTCTGATGGTTTTATAAGGGGCTTTCCCCCACTTCTCTCTGCATTTCTTGTTGCTGCCATGTGAAGAGGGATGTATTTGCCTCCCCTTCCACCATGATTGTAAGTTTTCTGAGGCCTCCCCAGTTCTGCTGAACTGTGAGTCAATTAAACCTCTTTCCTTTATAAATTACCCGGTCTTGGGTATGTCTTTATTAGCAGCATGGGAACGGACTAATACAGGGATAATCTGTTTTCTTGCTTTTTCCAGATTCTAAAGCTGTATACCTTGCCTCATGGTCCACTTCCTCCATCTTGAAGTCCAACCGTGTGGCATCTTCAAATCTCTCTGCTTCCATTGTCACGTCACTTTCTGTGTCAAATCTACCTTTGCCTCCCTTTTATAAGGAAACTCGTGATTGCTTTTAGGGCCCATCTGGATAATCCAGGATAATAACCCTGTCTTAAGGTCTTTAACTTAATCACATCTACAAAGACCTTTTCTCATATAAGGTAACATTTACAAGTTGCAGAAATATGTACATGTGAAATAATATGTTGACTAGGATTTGTTTTAAAATATTTTAGAAAGGGTAGAGATGAAACAAGAATGACAGAATTATGACAATTTTTGAAGTTGAGTGATAGTGATATGGGGCTTATGCCATTTTCTTTACTTTTGCATATATTTGAAATTTTCCAATGAAGCCTTTTTTTTTTTTTGAGACAGAGTCTCACTCTGTTGTCCAGGCTCGAGTGCAGTGGTGTGATATCAGCTCACTGCAACTTCTGCCTCCTGGATTCAAGCGATTCTCCCACCTCAGCCTCCTGCGTAGCTGGGATTGCAGGCGTCCGCCACCATGGCCAGCTAATTTTTATATTTTTAGTAGAGATGTGGTTTCACCATGTTGGCCAGACTGGTCTCGAACTCCTGACCTCAGGTGATCCACCCACCTCAGCCTCCCAAAGTGCTGAGATTACAAGCGTGAGCCACCTCGCCTGGCCCCAGTGAGTCTTAAAATAAGTAAATAAAGAAACAAAAAACATGGCCTCTTTTCAAACAGCATGTGGTATGTGGCTATTCTTAATTGCAAGTCATGTTGCCTCCATATTCCCCTGAGTTAAGTGCCTAGTACTGTAAGTAAAGTGCTAAAGGCTGAAAGGATCAGACCTTAATAAAGGCTTTGGGGTCAAGCATGAGCACAACAGAGAGAGACAGACTTAGATTTGGAGGACCAGAATGGTTTTTCCCTCCTGTACAACTACGTGGCTTGCGCCAAGTTAATTAACCTCTGTAAACTTTGGCTCTCTCATCTGAAGAGGAAAGTAAGAACATTACCTACCTTATAGGGTTGTGTGAGAGAAAATGAGATAATCAATAAAAAGACCTTAGCACTTTGGCAGTACCTGGCATCATTTGACAATTCCTGGCAAATGATGAGAATGCCTTTCTAAAACAGTTTCCATTTTCTTTTCAGACATCACTCATTTGTGCTTCCGCCTTCCTGCCTGGTTACCCTGTTTCTTCCGCTGACCTTTTTTTGGATGGCAATTCTCATCTTAGTTTATATTTCCCTGAAAACAGAGTCCCAAACAAGGACTTGAGAGAAGGGTAATTTATTTGGGAAGTTTTTCACTGTTAAGGTTTCTAGATTTAGCAAATAAAAATCCGGAATGCCCAGTTTTCTTTACAGATAAACAATGAATACTTTTTTATTGTAAGTATATACCATTTGAGAGATATTTTTAGACATTTAACTGAATGTCCTATATTTTATCTGACAGCTTTATCCCAGGGGGCAGAGGGAAGAAAATGAGCAGTGTTCTAGTCCATTCAGATTGCTATAGCAAATGACCACAGACTGAGTGGCTTACAAACAATAGAAATGTATTTCTCAGTTCTGGAGTCTGGGAAGTCCAAGATAAAAGGTGCCGCAGGTTCGATGTCTGGTGAGGGCCTTCTTCCTTCATAGATGTGTTCTCACCAGTGTACCCTCACATGGTGGAATGGGCAAGGGAGCTCTCTCAGGCCTCTTTTATGAGGACACTAATCCCATTCATGAGGGCTCCACTCTTATGACCCAATCACCTCCTAAAGGCCCCACCTCCTAATATCATCATCTGGGGATTAGGATTTCAACATATGAATTTTATGGGAACATAAGTATTCCAATGATAGCAAGCAGTGGGACATAAAGGAAAGAGAATCTAAAAAAGAGCATGTTAATGAGTCATTAAAGACCACTATTAAGTAACTAAGGCTCAATCCTAGCAATCCTAAAACTGACCCTCTGAGAAACCACGTAGAATACGACTCAGAATTGTCTTTTCTGTGGAAGGTGAGGCTAGTGCCTTCTTCCAGAAGATTGCCCTTGGGGAATTTAACTTCTCAGCACCTCTTTTTTTTTTTTTTTTTTTTTTTTTTTGAGACAGGGTCTCTCACTCTGTCACTCAGGCTGGAGTGCAGTGCAGTGGCATGATCTCAGCTCACTGCAGCCTTGGCCTCCTGGGCTCAAGCAATCCTCCCACCTCAGCCCTCCAAGTAGCTGGGACTACAGGCATGTGCCAGCACACCCAGCTAATTTGTTGTTGTTGTTGTTTGTTTGTTTGTAGGGACAGGGTTTCACCACATTGCCCAGGCTGGTCTTGAATTCCTGAGCTCAAGCAATCCACCTGCCTTGGCTTCCCAAAGTACTTCTCAGCACTTATGAGCTGTTCCTTGTTTGGGCTGAGCAACCACCCACAGCTTCAGAAAAAGCCCTATTTACATATTTCCATATGACCTTCATTTTTTTCTTATAGCCCTTTTCACAACCGTCATCAATTATTTTTGTGATTATTCCCTCCATTAAATTAAGCTCCTCAAAGACAGAATCTTATTGTCTTTTTCACTTATGTAGCCCCAGAGCTTGGCACAGTGTCATCTGTGTTGACATAAGAAATATGTGTTAGTTGCCATTGCTGTGCAGTGGTTGTTCACATAAGACTCTTAGACCCTGGGAGGTTGTAGACCCAAGTGACTCCAATGGATGGTAAGATTAATGGTCTCATAAGTGCTCCATTGGGTGGAATGAGGTGCTTCTCCAAAGCTTCTAGATGTATTCCTCCCCCTTTTTCCTGCCTCTCATTCTTAATGCCTGTGATCCCAACTGGTTGGCTGATACAAAAGAATCTGTGTAACTCCGCTCAAAATTAAATCTGCCACTGTAAATATCTTTTGAGGTCTCCCTACTGTGCATATAGTACCTACCACAGTAGATGCTGTGGAAGATGCACACATGAATTAGACAGGGGTCCTCCTCCTACTCTCCAAGAACTAACCATCCTCTGAATGAGACATGTGAAAAGCTTTAACACGGGGTAGAAATGAAGTGTAGGGATGCACTGCCTGTCTTCCCCACATCCCTGACAGTTTTTTGCACTAGTCTGTGAATTAAACATCCCTGTTCCACTTCCCAAAGCAATCCTGGTTTAGACAGGAAATACATAGGCACCTGACTTATGAGGCTGAACTGGAATGTGGTCCCTGAAGGTTCCTCCATTGCCGCTGTGAGGTCTGTGATGTTATCTGATGAGTGCAGACCACTGGATTCCTGTGTTCTCTCTGTGGCAGGTCACTCATCCTCCCCATTTATATCTAATTCCTGGCAACTGGGTACCCAGCCAGAGTTCTTCCTTTGCCGTAGCTTCTCTGTTCCCCAGAAGTAGTGTTATGCTTCTGCTTTGCTTTCCTCTCCATTTGTAATTCCTCTTCCACTAGTCTGTCTGGTTCCTAGCTCTTCTTGAAAATCCAGAGCCTATTTTTGTACTCCTTCACAATACTTACTGCTAGAGTTTGAATGTTTGTCCCCTCCAAAACTCATTTTGAATCTTAATCCTCAATGTGGTGGTATTGAGAGGCAAGGTTTTTAAGAGGTGATTGAATCATGAGGACTCTGACCTCAGGAATGGATTAATCCACCCATTGATTAATAAATTAATGGATTAACGGGTTGATATATTAATGGGTTCTTATGGGAGTTGGACTGGTAGCTTTGTAAGAAGAGGAAGGGAGACCTGAGCTAGCAGGCTAAGCTTCCTTGCCATGTGATGCCCTGTACCACCTCAGAACTTTGCAGAGTCTCTATCAGCAAGAAGGCCCTCACCAGATTTGGCCTGTCAACCTTGGACTTCCCAATCTCTATAATTGTGAAAAATAAAGTCCTTTTCTTTATAAATCACCCAGTTTCGGGTGTTCTTTTTTTTTTTTTTTTTTCTTTTTTTTTTTGAGACAAGTCTCATTCTGTCGCCTAGGCTGGAGTGCATTAGCACGATCTCGGCTCACTACATCTTCTGCCTCCTGGGTTCAAAAGATTCTCCTGCCTCAACCTCCCAAGTAGCTGGGATTACGGGCACACACCACCATGCCCAGCTAATTTTTGTATTTTTAGTAAAGACAGGGTTTCACCATGTTTGTCAGGCTGGTCTTGAATTCCTGACCTCAGGTGATCCAGCCGCCTCGGCCTCCTAAAGTGCTGGGGTTACATGGCATGAGCCACCATGCCCGGCCTCAGGTGTTCTTTTATAAGCAATAGATAATGGACTAATACACTCACTAAATCAAGTGTCCTATCACTGGATGAGGCACCAGCTGCCTATGGACAGGCTCCCAGACACTTGCCCATTGGGTCTTCCAAGGAGCGAGAGCCAGGGTCACCCATGAAAAACTTCATCTCCCAGAAAGGACAGGGATTACCTCCCTCGGTTCCTGAGAGTAAGCATTTGCCTGAACCTAAGCATAGGTCACTATACCCTTGAATGCTATCCATACCCTGTAGCCATACCTCTTCTAACAGCCCAGTCTATCACTCTTTTGGCCAGTCAGGTTTAGTGCCAGGCCCCAGCTTCCATCCCCACCACAAAATCTGCCTGGCATGGTTTGTGTAAACCCACAAGCCTCATTAAGTGGTCCTAAAAGTTGGCACCCTGGGGGTTATAGACAAGGAAGCAAGTGACTCTTACTGACATGACCTGGGATCATTGGGAAAATGGCAGGTACTCTGAAAATGAGTAGGACTTCCAAAGCTGGATAACCAGTATTGGGTGCATTCTCTCAGTAGCTATTTGAATCTATTAAAAATACATCAGTCTTTGCTTCTTTCTCTCTGTTTGCTCTCTGCTCACCGATATCTCTGTTGGAAATATTTAGGTGCCTCCAATACCCTTTTATGGTGAATCCTTCAGAATCCCAGAAGGTGGCAGAAGCTTTGAAATCACTTGGGAAAGGATTGCTCTCTATTTTGAATTAAGGGGATTATTCCATGATAATGCTTCTCATTACTATGAATTTTTTGGACATGAAAATGGTGGCATTTCTTTCACAAGCTAATTTGTTTGAGATTTTGCATTCATATGCAAATATTTAGCTTCGGGATCTGTATTCAATTTCTCAATTAAATTTTTAGGCACAGCCAAATTAGCTGTACCAACACATAGTATATTTGTAATTTTTGCTCATTTTAATCATGGTTTCAGTCAGCTCTAAGCAGGACAATTTATTTTCCTACCTACAGATGGTTTGCAAAACATAGAAAAAAATAGTTTCAACTTTGTTGATTGCATTTATATTTTTCCAGGAAAATTTGTAGTAGCATTATCTTATTTCCTTTAAATTTAATATGTTTTCTTCAGATAATTTTATATATAAAGAGAGATACACCATGCTGTTTTAATAGAAAATTTTCAGAATTATTTCCTCCAAATTATCCCATCTCCCTTTCAGAGGAAATAAATTTACTTATGATACATGAATCAAATATAGATTTACCATTTTTCCATCCTTTTTTTTCTTAGAAACCAAACACATAATCAAAAAGAAAGCTGTACTTGCTATTAACATTGCTACATCAATATATTCCTTAAGGAGGGCTATGCTAAAATGCATTTTTGAGATTTAAATTCCTCATATCCTTGTATGAACTCTTCTAAGTCTAGCCAATCTATACATTATATCCATTTAGTATTTTACACTTTTACCTGATCTGAAATGATAAAATAGGAAAATAGAGAAACTCAAGCTTTTACAGACTCCACTACAATGTCCATGGAATGGTGATTTGGGATTAGAAACGAAACCAAAAAGCAACACTATTTTGATTTCTTTGAAATGAAAAGTACTGTTGATACTTACCCTTACTGGTATGTTGTGCAGGCACCAAAACCTACTCTGTAATATCCAGGGAAAATTAGATATATACAGGTGAAAGATATCTGTAGACTTGTACCATCTTGAGACTAGGTTATAATGAGACAAACCTATTGCAATTTTCTCCAGCAAGGCCAAGGAGTTCTGAGTTCATCTGGCAGCTTCTGTTTGATCTAGGAAATTCAGAGCTGGCCAGTTAGTCTCCCTCTACCCTCATTCCCAGCATATACATCTGTATATAGGACTAAAGAAGAAAGGGAGGGAAGGAAGGAAAAGGATATTGTTGCCTACCATTCTCCATCTGTCCTCACACTACAACCTTCCTGTGCAGAGGTTGCCTTATTGAGTCTAGAGAATAAACAAACACAACAGGAACCCCAAAGAAGGCAAAAGTGGATCTTAAAATTTCCCTTTCTCTTTCTGTAACACATCTCCTATACTGAGTCATAGCCCCATCATTGACAGTTAGTGTTTGACTGAAATCATGCTATTCAGATGAGAAGGAAGATTTTATCAGGTTGGCCTTAGACACCAGTTTCAGGATAGGGGAAGGGAGTTTCTGGGGAGCATGCATTTCATTTCCAAATGTATCAGTCAAAGTAAATCTAGCTGTTGGAAGATTCCTTATATTTAGTAAAAATCAATAGAGTAATGTGCTCGTACCATATTTCCTCATGAGCAAGCTTTCAAGTTTCCTGCAGGCCTTTCCCCAGGCTCCCTATCAGAACTTGCATTTTCCTTTTGAACAAACCATTCTGCTGGAAATGCAGTCATGCAAGAGAATATTGTATCACTCAGTTAATCTCAGTGCCATAGGCGAAGACCTTACCTCTAATTCTACAAAAGGTACCTCTTTTGCCCTTTCTAGTTAATTCCTCTACTCTTAGAGGTCAAAGTAAAAGTGAAACTATGGATTTTTTTTTTCTGTTCAGTGATAATGAAATGCTGTCAAACTATTTGGGGGCAGGGTGTGTAAAGATGGTATGGGGATACGACAGAATGATATTAGAGAATGTCCATGTATCTGTATGTCTTAGCCTGGGATTTTCCAAAAGTAAAGCCTAAGGAAAAAGCTTGTGTGCAGAGGGTATACTTCAGGCCTGTCTTTGTCCAGTCAGGCTGCTATAACAAATTGCTGTAGACTGGATGGCTTATAAACAATGGAAATTTATTTCTCATAGATCTTGAGGCTGGAAATCTGAGATCATGGTGCCAGCATGGTCAAGTTCTAGTAAGGGATGTCTTCTGGGTTGTAGACAGCCAACTTCTTCTTGTGTCCTCACATGGCAGAAGCGTAAGGGTCTCTCTGGGACCTCTTTTATAAGGGCGCTAATCCCCTTCATGGGGACTCTGGTCTCATAACCCAATTACCTTCCAAAGTCCCCATCTCCTAATATTACCATACTGGGGATTAGGATTTCAACGTATGAATTTTAGGAGGATACACACATTCAGACCATAACAAGACCTGATCCAGAGACATGGGAGAGAAAGACTAGCATGTGTGTATGTGAGGGAGGATGAGGAGATCATGGAAAAATAAAAAGCCAATGCAAAAATATTTTATTGAGTCAGCTTCCACTATAGATTATTTGTACTTGATTACCTAGGACCCTCCCAGGAGACTTATGAGATGCATCTCAGAACTGTTGGTCTAGAGCACCAACGAGAGAACCTTTATCCTTCAGTTGCCAACCCCACTGGCCAAGGATGAATCTATGGGTATTCTCATTCCTATACACACTTCCTGGTTGTATGTGCACGAGGGCCAAATGGACTTGTCTGAGTGGCTTATGCTGTGCTGTCACAGAAGCATCAGCACAGGAAGAAGCATGGCTTGTGGCAAGACTCGGTCAGGTTGCATCTGTGTGAAGCTGCTGGCCACCACAGCACAGAAAACATAACCAAAACACTGTGCCAGCCTTCCTTGGGATGCTTCATTAGTTATGAAAAGCAAGCTGTTCCCCTAACCTAGATCCATCCCTACAAAATCATTTTTATTAACTCATAAGAACTCCACTAGAAATTTACCTTTTATACATATGGACCATGGAATACTACACAACCATGAAAAAAGAGTAAAATCATGTCCTTTGTAGCAACATGGATGCTGCTGGAGCCATCATCCTAAGTGAATTAATGCAGGAACAGAAAACCAAATCTCGCATGTTCTCATTTGTAAGTGGGAGCTAAACATTGGGTACACAAGAACATAGAGATGGCAACAATAGACACTAGTGACTAATAGAGGGGGAGAGAGGGAGAAAAGAGTTGACAAACTTACCTATTGAGTCCTATGCTCACTACCTCGGTGACGCGATCAATTGTACAATAAACCTCAGCATCACTCAGTATACCCATGTAACAAACTTGCACAGGTACCCTCTGAATCTTAAATAAGAGTTGAAATTATTATTATTATTATTTATTTTTATTTTATTTATTTATTTATTTATTTATTTATTTATTTATTTATTTATTTATTTTGAGATGGAGTCTTGCTCTGTCTCTGAGGCTGGAGTGCAGTGGCGTGGTCTCGGCTCACTGCAAAATCCGCCTCCCGGGTTCACGCCATTCTCCTGCCTCAGCCTCCAGAGTAGCTGGGACTACCAGCGCCCGCCATCGCGCCCGGCTAATTTTTTTGTATTTTTAGTGGAGATGGGGTTTCACCGTGTTAGCCAGGATGGTCTCGATTTCCTGACCTTGTGATCCACCCGCCTTGGCCTCCCAAAGTGCTGGGATTACAGGCGTGAGCCACTGCGCCCGGCCAAGAGTTGAAATTATTTTTTAAAAATCCTAGTTTGCTGAGAGCTTTTTTTTTTTTAATAATACTAATACTGCTTCTTTAGAAATTTTATTATGTATGTCTGAAGAAGGGATTGGAAAAAAAATTATTGTGGTCCCAAATTACAACAAATCACAAAAAAGAGCTTTAAAATCAATCGTATGTTGTATTATAAATCAGACACAGGCCAGGCACAGTGGCTGAGGCCGGCAGATTGCTTGAACCCAGAAATTCAAGACCAGCCTGGGCAACATGATGAAATCTGTCTCTACAAAAACATATAAAATTAGCCAGGTGTTGTGGCAGGCACCTGTAGTCCCAGCTCCCTCCTGAGGTGGGAGGATTGCTTGAGCCTAGGAGGTGGAGGTTGCAGTGAGCCAAGATCGTGCTACTGCACTCCAGCCTGGGAGACAGAGTCTCTGTCTCAAAAAAATAAAATAAATAAATCAGATACAAAGTGCAGATACTTAGAATTCCCCTCTGAGGAAGCAGAACTCAACTCACAGAATTTTTAAAAACCAGGAAGTTTACCTTATGTGGAGGTCTTGCTATGTTTGTCTAGATTAGTCTTGAACTCCTAGGCTCAAGCAATTCTCTGTCACAGCCTTCCAAGTAGCTGGGACTACAAGTGTGCACCACCTTGCCTGGCTCTTTTTTTTTATTATTTTATTTATTTATTATTATTATACTTTAAGTTTTAGGGTATATGTGCACAATGTGCAGGTTAGTTACATATGTATACATGTGCCATGCTGGTGTGCTGCACCCACTAACTCGTCATCTAGCATTAGGTATATCTCCCAGTGCCATCCCTCCCCCCTCCACCCACCCCACAACAGTCCCCAGAGTGTGATGTTCCCCTTCCTGTGTCCATGTGTTCTCAATGTTCAATTCCCACCTATGAGTGAGAATATGCGGTGTTTGGTTTTTTGTTCTTGCGATAGTTTACTGAGAATGATGATTTCCAATTTCATCCATGTCCCTACAAAGGACATGAACTCATCATTTTTTATGGCTGCATAGTATTCCATGGTGTATATGTGCCACATTTTCTTAATCCAGTCTATCCTTGTTGGACATTTGGGTTGGTTCCAAGTCTTTGCTATTGTGAATAATGCCGCAATAAACATACGTGTGCATGTGTCTTTATAGCAGCATGATTTATAGTCCTTTGGGTATATACCCAGTAATGGGATGGCTGGGTCAAATGGTATTTCTAGTTCTAGATCCCTGAGGAATTGCCACACTGACTTCCACAATGGTTGAACTAGTTTATAGTCCCACCAACAGTGTAAAAGTGTTCCTATTTCTCCACATCCTCTCCAGCACCTGTTGTTTCCTGACTTTTTAATGATTGCCATTCTAACTGGTGTGAGATGGTATCTCATTGTGGTTTTGATTTGCATTTCTCTGATGGCCAGTGATGGTGAGCATTTTTTCATGTGTTTTTTGGCTGCATAAATGTCTTCTTTTGAGAAGTGTCTGTTCATGTCCTTCTCCCACTTTTTGATGGGGTTGTTTGTTTTTTTCTTGTAAATTTGTTTGAGTTCATTGTAGATTCTGGATATTAGCCCTTTGTCAGATGAGTAGGTTGCGAAAATTTTCTCCAATTTTGTAGGTTGCCTGTTCACTCTGATGGTAGTTTCTTTTGCTGTGCAGAAGTTCTTTAGTTTAATTAGATCCCATTTGTCAATTTTGTCTTTTGTTGCCATTGCTTTTGGTGTTTTAGACATGAAGTCCTTGCCCATGCCTATGTCCTGAATGGTAATGCCTAGGTTTTCTTCTAGGGTTTTTACGGTTTTAGGTCTAACGTTTAAGTCTTTAATCCATCTTGAATTGATTTTTGTATAAGGTGTAAGGAAGGGATCCATTTTCAGTTTTCTACATATGGCTAGCCAGTTTTCCCAGCACCATTTATTAAATAGGGAATCCTTTCCCCATTGCTTGTTTTTCTCAGGTTTGTCAAAGATCAGATAGTTGTAGATATGCAGCATTATTTCTGAGGGCTCTGTTCTGTTCCATTGATCTATATCTCTGTTTTGGTACCAGTACCATGCTGTTTTGGTTACTGTAGCCTTGTAGTATAGTTTGAAGTCAGGTAGCCTGATGCCTCCAGCTTTGTTCTTTTGGCTTAGGATTGACTTGGTGATGCGGGCTCTTTTTTGGTTCCATATGAACTTTAAAGTAGTTTTTTCCAATTCTATGAGGAAAGTCATTTGTAGCTTGATGGGGATGACATTGAATCTGTAAATTACCTTGGGCAGTTGCTGAGAGTTTTTTTAAAAATAAAAATTATGAATGGAAAAGAAAAAATTACCTCATAAATTTCCCAAAGCTATCATACAATCACCCATAAAATAAAAATATCCCATTTGTTCCCATACCACAGTATGTTCTATATAATCTCTGTTAAAAAAAAAAAAATCTTGGCCAGGCACTGTGGCTCACACCTGTAATCCCAGCACTTTGGGAGGCCAAAGTGCGTGGATCACTTGATCCCAGGAGTTTGAGACCAGCCTGGGCAACAATGGTGAAACCCCATCTCTACCAAAAAAATGCAAAAATTAGCTGGGCATGGTGGCATGTGCCTGTAGTCCCAGCTACTTGAAGGCTGAGGTGGGAGGATTGATTGAGCCCTGGAGGTCAATGCTGCAGTGAGCCATCGTAGTGCCACTGCACTCCAGCCTAGGGGACAGAGTGAGACTGTCTCAAAAAGAAAACCTTAATATGCCTATTGTTGGTGAATTCATTATTACATTGTATTAGTCAGAATCTTTGGGCTAATACAGTGAAAGAAGCAGGACTCAAATAATCCAAGGCAAAGAAAACAAAAGAATAACTTTAGTGGTTTGGTTTGCATAATAATCATGAAGTCTTAAGGTAAAATTAACTTAAGGCTCATCTACATCCAGGGTCTCAAATGATGCCACCAGGTCTCCCTCTTCCTCTCTCCCTTCTCTCTGTCCTCCTGTCTTTTTCCCTATGTCTTGACTGTTAACCATGTTCAACCACATAGCTTGTGATTCAAACTCTTGTGTAAGTATCTGTTTGGGCCTTAGCCCAATCACTATTGGGAGAAATATAAGATATCATGATTGGCAAGTTGTCTGAGTCTGTTCAAGCTGCTATAACAAAATACCTTAGATTAGGTAGCTTACAGGCTACAGAAATTTCTTTCTCACAGTTCTGGAGGCTCGAAAGTCCAAGATCAAGGTACCAGCAGATTCAGTGTCTGGTGAGGGCTGGTTCTTCATAGACAGCAAATTCTCACTGTGTCCTCATATGGTGGAAGGAGCAAGGCAGTTCTCTGGGGTCTCTTTTATAAGGAAGCCCATTTTAAAATCCCTTTCATGAGGGGCCTACCCTCATGACCTGATTACCTCCCAAAGGCCCTACCTCCTAATACCATCACCTTGGTGATTAGGATTCAACATATGAATTTGGGGGAGGACACAAACATTCAGACCAAAGCACAAGGCCTGGGTCAAATGCCCACTCTTGCAGCCCAGATGATATTCTAGGGTTGTCAGTTCCATCAGAATCAAGTGTGCTGTGGGAGTGACAGGTCCCAAAAGAAAGAGTTGTGCCAGGCATAAAAAGCAATGACATCCAATGCTTTCCCATGAGTAAGGCTTCTGGTAATGCCTTCCCTTTCAAGTAACAAAACTTTGTACTTTTAATTTTTATAAAAGTACTTATATAAATGCATAAAAATCTCATTTTATGCTTTTTTGCTTTCCTTACTTTTTCCTCCCTCCTTCTGACCTTCTCTGTTCATTTTACACTTTTGTCCCCATAGATAACTAATGTTAACAATGTAATATATATAATTGTTGTATTTTTTTCTTTATGCTCATGTAATCATAACATACATATGCATATTATATATACACAGATATGTGATCCATAAATTACAATAAATTTTGCCCACTAAGGCACATCTGGCAATGTCTGTAGATATTTTTGGTTTTCACAACTGAGGGGGTGCTACCAGCATGTAGTGGGTAGAGGCCAGGGATGCTGTTCAACATCCTACAATGCACAGGACAGTTCCCTACAACAAAGAATTATCCAGCCCAAAATAGCAACAGTATAGAGTTTAAGAAACTTTGATATGTGCACATACATATAAGTTTTGGTCATTGTTTATAAAATTTAGATCATATTAAACCCACAAATTGAAATCGTATTAAACCCACCTTTCTGGATCTTGTTTCTCTCACTCAACACTACCTTATTAAAATAATTAAAAAGAATTTGGTATAGCATGAGTTAACTGCATAATGGTTGCTTAATATTTCATCATATGATTGTAATCTATTTAACCATTCACTGTGGACAATTAGAACTTAATTCTGTTGGGGAGCTCTCAGAGAAAACATGCTTCAGGATCTTAATATCCAAGGGTTAGGGAGTTGGGGTATTTATACCAATTCCTACCAGTGATTGGTTGTGGGCTACTCTTAGGGAACATTAACTCCTCAGTACTTTGCAGGTGTGTCAAAGCAGGCTCCAGGAACAATCTTGGACAAAGAAATGCATGCACTGCCTATTGGAAGGTAGGCTGGTAGGCAATGAGGCAGTAAGGAGAGCAGATGGAGTCTGGACACACTGCTGACATCTGCCGTAACCCTTGAAATACATATCTTTATTTACAGTACTCTTATTTTTGTGAGAGAGTCTTTTAATAGAGGGATTACTAAGCGTGTTAGGATAGTCATACTTCTCCACAGAAACAGAGCCAATAGGAGAGAGAGAGAGAGAGAGAGAGAGAGAGAGAGAGAGAGAGAGAGAGAGAGAGAAGTATATATGATTTAAAATTAAATATTGACAAATCTCTATAAATTTTAATACATACACACACACAGAGAGATAGAGAGATTATAAAGAATTAGCTCATGATTGTGGAGGCTAGGAAATTCCTTGATCTGGCATCTGCAAGGTAGAAACCCACGAAAGCCAATCTGAATCCAAAGGCCTGAGAACCAGGAGAGCCAATGGTATAAGTTCAGTCTGGAGGCAGGAGAAGACTAATGTCCCAGCTCAAGCAGTCAAGCAAAGAGTGAATTCTCCCTTCGCCTGCCTGTTTGTTCTATTCAGGTTCTCAAGGGATTGGATAATGCTCACTCACTTTGGGGAGGGCCATCTGCTTTACACAGTTTACTGATTCAAATGCTAATCTCATCTGGAAACACCCACACAGACACAAGAATAATATTTAGCCAAATATCTGGGTACTCCTATGGCCCAGTCAAGTTGACACAAAATTAACCATCTCACTGAGTTAAAGTATATATTTGTATTAATTTCAATCAATCCTACCTGATTGCTTTCCAAAATAATTGTCATAATTCACATTTCCACCAGCAATTTTGTAATTGCTATTTTCCCCAGTATTCCCGTCAGCAAAAAGTATTATGAGCCTTTAGAATTGTTGTCAATCTTACAAATGTAACATGATATTTTGTTACTTAAAAAGGTTTTATCCTAATATTTTTATTTGGCCAAATGGATTTACCCTCCTGAAAATGTCTCTTCAGATTCTTCATCCATTCTTTTTGTAGGTTATTTTTTTCCATTTTGACAATTTTTAAGAGTCTTTTTTGTGTTATTTATACTAAACCACTATCTGTTCTCTGTGTTACAAAAATTTTTTCCAGTCTATTGTTTGTGTATTAAGACTTTGTTAAAATATTTTTTGTAATACAGAGGTCTTTATGGAACATTTTCTGGATATACTATATTTTGATGAATCAAAGATGTCAAAAACCTTTATTATTTATCACTAATTTTTTTAAAAAAACACTGGCAATTAAATTGAAACAATGTTTTGTCATGAATTCAAATTTTAGTTGTAGAAGGAACTTTTTCTGATCTTTAATATTGACAGTATTATTGTGGGACACACTAAAGAACATTGGGTTTTGTTAGCATTGATTACTTGACTCTTATATTTCCTCTACTCAATTATATGTCCCTAGAAGTTTAGCATCAGCTTCTGTTCAGAGTCAGCAGGAAATCTCTGACACATTGATTTTAGGCTCCTTAACAATAGCGCCTCATTGGTATGAGAGTGGCCTCTCATACCTTTGAAATGTATTTTATCTTTTCCAAAAAGTTTGGCAATTTCTCCAGTCTCTATTGCAGGGCTTGGTGTTGATAGGCAATATTTTCTCATATATCTCAACTGCAAAATGTAATGTAGTTTCATCCACTTGTGAGCATCTGCCTTCCTGGTCCCATAAAGCACTTGGTTGTTGCTCTGTGTGAAGTGTGGATCTGGTTATTCTTACAGATAGTAATGATGATTTGCTTCTCTGTCACAAAGTCACATCCCTATACTGTTTGTATGCCTCAATAAGTATTTGTTAAATGAATTAAAGAAAAGAATGACTCCTATACCTTATTTCATCAAAATTTTTCTCCCTCATAGAGTCTTTTAAAATCACTAGTCTAGATTTTACCTTTTCTCTTTCCCTTCCCAAATTTTTAAGTATAATATCTTTATTGAAATATAATTCACATACCTTACAATTCACCAATTTAATGTGCAGAATTCAACTGTTTTTATTATATTCATAGAGATGTGCAACCACCACTACAATCAATTTCAGAACATTTTCATTACCTTTAAAATAAAGCCTTGTTATAAAACAGAAAGAAAGGAATGTTTGTGTCTTGCTTTCATTTGTGAAGGATAACTTAACAAATAAAGAATTCCATGTTGGCAGTTAAAGGGAAAAAAAGAAACCTTCATACCCATTAGCAGTCACCTCTAGTTTCCAGAACTCCCAGCCCTACACACCCACTAGTTTATGTTCCATCTTGCATATTTGCTTTCCTGGATGTTTCATACAAATGGAGTCATATAGTATGTACCTTTTGTGACTGGCTTCTTTCACTTAGCATATTTTTAAGGCTCATCCATATTGTAGTATGTATTAGTATTTCATTCCTTTTTATTACCAAATAATATTTCTTTGTATTGATAGACTACATTTTATTCATGCATACATCAGTTAATAGCCATTTGGGTTGTTTCTACTTTTTGGCTACTATAAATAATGCTCCACGTTTTTGTGTGGACGTATTTTTTTATTTCTTTTGGATACATACCTAGGAGTAGAATTGCTGGATCATATGGCAATTCTCTGTTTAACTTTTTAAAGAATTGGCATCTCACAAGATGTTTAAGGTAATATCTTTATAAAAGGCAGCAGAAACAAGGAGAAAGATGATAAGGGAAGGGTGTTCAGAGGGCAATTACTATCAATGTGTAGAAAGCCAGCTGATGAATACATAATTCCTTAAATAACGATTGAGCACCTGCCATGTGCTAAAGTGCTTGTCTGGGTGCAAGGGCTACTGCAAGAGAGGATAGACAACAAATAAATTAGGAAGTAAATAAACAATGATTTCAACTAGTGAAAAATGCCAAGAAAATAAAACAAGATGATATGATGGGGGAGGACAGGAGAGGATAACATTAGATAGGACAGTCAGGAAGGACTTTCTAAAGAAATCTCTTTTGAGGCTGAGACCTGAAAGGTAACAAGGTGATCTTATTGCAAAGCAGTTGCACTAATTCACTGAAATATTTTATCTTCATTTCACAACTTAGGAAAAAATAAGAGATGAATAAGAGTATATCATTGCCTGCTGCTATTTGAGTGGAAAACATGAAATGATATCCTTTAAAACTTTCTATAAAGTAGAATAAATTGCCTTTTGTGTACATTTTTCTATATATAAAAATGTACATAAATTTATATATAAATATATAATATATAATATGTATTACATTATATTATAGATTATTTGTATATTACATATTATAGATAATATAATATAATACAATAATATAATATAATAATATAATATGTATATGATATTATCATATTATACATTCTATAATTGTATAAAATATATAATTTATATATATTATATATGAATATATATTCATATATTTATATTAACTATAATATATAAATATATATTTATATATTTATATACAACTATAATATATAAATATATATTTATATATTTATATACAACTATAATATATAAATATATATTTATATATTTATATACAACTATAATATATAAATATATATATTTATATATTTATATATAAGTATAATATATAAATATACATTAATTATATATAAACATATATAATATATATAATATATAATATAAAAATATATATAATATATAATATAAAAATATATATATAATTATATATTATATAAATATAAATATAAATTGTATAAATATATATTTGTATTTATATAATATATAAATATATAAATAATTTATATATCATAATTTATTAGATAATTTATAATATATATTTAGTCAAATATATTATATATTAATTATATATAATATATATTATATTAATAATTTATATTATATTATATATTATATATTATATGTTATATATATATTATGTATTATATACAATATATATTATATATTATGTATTATATACAATATATATTATATATTATGTATTATATACAATATATATTATATATTATGTATTATATACAATATATATTATATATTATGTATTATATACAATATATATTATATATTATGTATTATATACAATATATATTATATATTATGTATTATATACAATATATATTATATATTATGTATTATATACAATATATATTATATATTATGTATTATATACAATATATATTATATATTATGTATTATATACTATATATTATATATTATGTATTATATACAATATATTATATATTATGTATTATATGCAATATATATTATATATTATATGCAATATATATTATATATTATATGCAATATATATTATATATTATATACAATATATATTATATACGATATATATTATATATTATATATTATATACGATATATAGTATATATTATATATTATATATTATATACGATATATAGTATATATTATATATTATATACGATATATAGTATATATTATATATTATATACGATATATAGTATATATATTATATACGATATATAGTATATATATTATATACGATATATAGTATATATCTTATATGTTATATACGATATATAGTATATATCGCATGTTATATACGATATATAGTATATATTATATACTATATATTATATATATTATATATATATTTGGATTTTGGAGGCAACACATTCCTCATTTGGGTGTGTTATTCTTGCCCATTTATCTGGACCCCACCCACTTTTTAGTGGGGTCCAGAACAGGAGAAGGCTTTGCAACAGGCCTAGGCTGTTGTGCAAGCTGCTCTGCCACTTGGGCCATATGACCCAGCAGATCCAATGGTGCTTGAGGTGGATATATATATATAAATATATATAATATATAATATATATATAAATATATATAATATATAATATATAAATATATATTATATATCTTATATCATATATTATATATATGAATTACATATATAAAATATATATATAAATATATATATAATATATATTAATATAATATAATATGTGTTATTATGATATATATTATAATATCATATTTAGTAGAGATGGGGTTTCGCCATGTTAGCCAGAATGGTCTCGATCTCCTGACCTCGTGATCCACCTGCCTCGGCCTCCCAAAATGCTGGAATTACAGGTGTGAGCCACCGTGCCCCGCTAAAATTTCAAATTAAGTGTTTCTGAGCTTAATTCTTCCTATCCCAAGAATATGGCCCAGCAGATCCAATGGTGCTTGAGTAGGATATGTATACATATATATATATATATATATATATTATATTATTGTATTATATTATATATATTTATTATATTATATATTATATTTATATTATATGAATATATAATATATATTATACAATTATATATATATTTATATAATATATATAAATATATAAATATATATATATATATATATATGAATGGGATGTCACTTTCCTGCCTACACTGGTCTGAAACTTTTTGCTTCAAGAAATCCTCCTGCCCTGGCCTCCCGAAGTGCTGGGATTACAGGAGTGAGCCACTGTACCCAGCTAATGTTCATTTTTTCTATCTCTTTTATTTTCTAGGAATTGCAGTCATTACATTTGGTAGGTGTGAACTATCATGTCCCTATCTTTATTGTAAAGTAAATCCCATGATTGAGGAATCTTCTATAGTCTCCTTACTGTTTATGTACTCAATCTGTGGTTAACATTCTTTGGTATATTATTTGTGGAAATTCTCAGCAAGAGACAAAACAGCCTCTTTCTACAGTAGTAGTAAATCCAGGAAATGAAAATACGATGTGTTATCAGCATCCATATTTGTCCAAGGATGTGGACCAAAAGACCAAAGTAATTTGAGTGTTCACTAGCAAAGAAAAGATAAGCTTTGTTCTGGGTAGAGCCACAATAACAACAATTAGTCAGGTTTCTATCAGGTTACATTCCACAAAGCATATCCAGGATGGTTTGATTAAAGCTGAAGCCTCCCTAAAGCTGCGAAGCTGAATTTAGATATAGAATTGCCTGAAGGTAAGACAATAAACTGAAAAGCAACTGTGATTCTATCTTAGTCTGTCTCACACCCTGCCTGTTTTAATTCTTCCCTCCTTGCCACTATCCCACTTTTTCTGGAATTTATCCCTACAAAGACCATTTTGGGAAGCTTTTGTTGGACAACACCATTCATTCATTCAGCAAACATTTATTGAGCACCTTCAGACAAACTGTCTTCCCACACAGATCTTACATTACAGTGATGGGGGAAGAAAATAAACAAGGAGCAAATAATACAGTTTTTAAAAGGGATAAGAACTATAAAGGAAAAAAAGAGCAAGATAGTGAGGAAGAAATTGAGGATGTGGGGTGAAATTTAGGTTGGTCATGGAAGGTCTACATAGCACTGCTCATTGCTCCACAAGACCTTACCACTCCTTTCTTTGCTTGAAGAATATTGGTTTCCCTCTAAAGCAAGTGTCCATATGCTTTAGTGAAAGGCAGGCCCATCTGCACCTCAAGGGTTAAATCTTAACTGGTTTGAGCCTATTGCGGTGGTTCTATCTCTTTTGCCAGTGATTGGTTTAGGACTGGGACAGCGAGGCAATCTTGGTCAATGAGATTCAAGGGAAAGTTGGCTGGAGACTTCTGGAACCATTGTCCCCCATTTTACACAAAGATATGAGGAGAATATATTGTCTCCTTCAGGCTTTAGATGTTTGAGGGGTGATGCTTGGAGCTTCACTTGGAGTGAAGCTAGAGGCTTCTTGCAACTATGAGAGGGAAGACTGAAGATGGAAAAGCAAAAAGATAGAAAAAAATTTTAGTCCCAGAAATCTCTGAATCACTTAATTTGTGTACTCTGGAGCCACACTACCTCCAGACTTCTTATTATGTGACGTAAATACGTTCCCTTGTTATTTAATCCATTTGAGTTAGTTTGTCTATTGCTTATAGTCCAAGGCATCTCTATAGAAGATAATATGTGAGTGGAGATGTGAATGATAGAAGAGCAATTCAATTGAAAGTCATCTTGCTCTCTCAGTTCATCACTATGTGATCTTCCAAGAGAACCACAGGACCAAGATATGAGGAGACCTAGATGACTGTTGTAGGACCCCAGGCATCTAGGCAATGTCTTGTTTATAATTGCCACATGGAGGAATCCTAGAGTCTGGAAAGCTTAGCAAAGTTCATGATTTTATAATTGGCTTTGTTGTAAGCATAAGTGATTTAAAAAATGTGTAAGATATTCTGGGTTAATGATAGTCCTGGGAGTCTGGATCCAAAAATGAACATCCTTTTGTAGTAAAAACTCAATGTTATCAAGTTCTCAGGACTGTTCAGATTTTATTGTACTTATCTAAGAATACACTCGTTACTGAAATTCCTATAAGAGATATGACTTTATTTCAAATCATAAGCTAACAACAGTCAAAGACTACGGGTATTCATACCTCAAATAAGAGTAGAGGTAATGCTGATTACATAGAACATATGGGAAATATTGAGGTTATGGAAGATAACCAGGTTATTATTCAAGTGCAGTCTACTCATAGGAATGCCATTTATTTACTTATTTATTTTAAACCCAACTCTCCAGATTTTAAAAAACTTAAAAATCCACTCATCTTTGTCTTTACTTATTTTTTGCAAAAGTAATATATGGATTCATTCTATGTGGACAAAATAAGACAATATCAAAAAAAAGGCCTTATTAATTCTCATGCACTCCTATATGCAGACATAATAATAATAATTAGGATTAATTGAGAACTTAATATGCACCAGAGATTGTTAAGTGCTTTTATATTATTTTATTTAATCTCATACCCACCTCATGTGGTTGGTACTGTTATTTTTCCTGTTTTCCAAATAAAGAATCTGAGGCCCAGAGAAGTTAAGAAACTTTCCCAAGATTCCTCATAAGTGATAGGGAGGGGATCAAAAGCTGGGCAGTTTAATTGCCGGGCACATGTTACTAAACTGGGTGCTTTTCTCCATTGATATAAATCCTCTTCATTCCTGTCATAAACATGAGTCATCTTGCATTAAGCATGTATGTAGGTGTTTGTATTTACTATTTTTTGACAGATTAGAAGTTGGTGAATAACAAATGCCAAAAGATACAGGGCACAAAATGGAACTCTGAGATGGTTGATGAAAGATGAGAAAGATGCAAGGAGGAGCAAAGGAAGAAATGATTGGGGAACAAACTAAAATGAATGAAGGCGATTAGAGAATTAAATGTGTAAGCACTATGATAATCATGGAAACAAGAAAGGATGCAATGAGGTGGTGACTCTATACAATTTCTGAAAGGGTCAGAGACTGCAGAGAAAAAGGGATTTTTAGCTCTCTTCATGCCACATAATGGTATTGTGTAGTTGTTTTGAATACATTTTATAGACAAAGATTCCTAATCCTGTGGTCAAATAGCCCTTGAATTCTAGATACTTGGCTGAATTGTACTGATTATTAGGTGATGAAAACATTGTACAGTGGAATCTACAACATGACTATTCCCAAGAGGGCAGTCTAAATAATGAAGAGGGCACAGTTCTATTCCTTGGCTAGTAACAACAGGCAATATCCATAGCAACCACAGCAGCAATCTCTTCATAAAACCTCATGTGTATTGTGTGTGTGCTTGTGTGTGTTTAGAATGTATTCAATAAATATTGACTATCGTGTTTAGAAAAAAAGTTATGAGAATAGGCCTGTGATAGACATCTATGACTGCCTACTCAAGACAATTCCCTCTTTTTCATACCTATCAAAACCCTAATTTTACTTAGGTAAAATTGAGTCCATAACTTGGGGGTAAACCGTGACGGATCTAAACCATAAAAGCAATCCTATTCTCTTTTGGTCAGCGATATGTTGAGGGATGAGTGTGTGACTCAGTGTGACAAAAGAAATGGAATGGAAAGTCTGTAGGGGAGCTTCTGGGGAAGCAAAATTTCAAATCTATGTAAAGAAAATGCTTTTCGCTCATCCCTCCACTTCCTGCTTTGGATATTGTCTTGAGGATGTTATATTTAGAGCTGGGCCAATATAAACAGGGAAGGTAAAGGCATGCTCCTTGATGACATCATTACACTGCCGAGCTAGTCCTGGATCACCTACCAACAGACTTCATGTAACAAATAGTAAATGTCTTCATGTTAGTTGGGTTTTCTGTGACTTGCGTCACCTAAAAAAGACATAACAAATGAAGAAGTGAATGGATGAATGCTGAACTACATTCATATAAACATACCTGAATTATTTATTGTATTTTTATGACTCATTATTATATCTTAAATACACATCATATTGACTGGCATTCAATCAATACTTATTAAAATTAATGAATAAATGATGAATGGAAACGAAAATACAAAAATCAAAATCTAAGATAAACTTTACTGGATAAACTTTGACGATTGTTCCATAAAATGATGTATTATAATGTCTAAGATCAGCAAGTATTCAGAGCTCCTGCAAATCGCCAAATACATTTTTTATTTGGCTGGATATATGCTAAATTTAAGAAATGGAATGCAAATAAGCAGAGACTAAAAGCTTTTGCTGGCTCTGACATAAGGTATTTTGGCAGAGGACAAACTCAATAGTGAAACTAAAGAATTCATCGTAAATTGAAAACACTGATCTAAAAATTCAGCTTACATCATCTTTTAATATATCTCAATCACCTAGAAGAATATATGTAGCATTGTGAGGGAATATGTTGATCTGTTACTCCCATTTGAAAATGAAATTCTTCCATATCAGTATTAATTAAATACTGCCTAAAGAAGCCAAGCATGCCTCATCCTTTAGTCTTTCCTGCTTAGCTTCTCAGCAGGTTGTTTTAGATTAAGAACTATACAATAAATCATTTGATGCATGTAATAATTTTTATATTATTTGTTAAATTTTTGCCAGCTAATACATATAGGTAATAATCATGATTACAGATCATGTGGGAGTGAAGAAAACATAAAGTGCAGAAGTTGACATATCTATCAACAATGGCCCCAAATATGAGTAGTCAGTTTGTCAAATTGATTATCCTTTTTAAAACTTATATGCTTATCCTCTCACTCTCATTTATTTCCTTCCCATAGGCTTTTAAATGTCACCCTTTAAAACAACAAAATAGTCACTCCTAACCTTACATCTTAATCTAGCCAACTTCAAATCTTCCTTGTACTCATCTCCAAATTTCCCGAGTTATCCATACTATTTGAAGGCAGATGAAGTCAGTGCCTCACCCAACTCCTCTAAGCACTCAGCTTCCAGTACAGTCCAGTGGCATCTTATTAGGTTGATGCAAAAGTAATTGCAATTTTTGCCATTAAAAAATACTTTAAGCAGCCAGGACACCCTACCTGGGGACTTCTCTCCAGTCTAGTGCAAGGCACTCCAGAGGGTTATGGGAATTTGTGCCCTTGGGAATATCCCTCAGCCAATGATGGGTGGGAGCTGGAGGATAAATATGCATGTCTTAGTCCCTGAGTGAGGACAAGCCTAACTCTGAGGTGTGTTCTACATTGTGTCCCAGAGGTCCCTAGCAGAGCTGAATCTCAGTTAACCCAGCAACAATCTGCTCAGTACCTCACCCTTTACTCTCTTCCTTCCTTTCCCTTACCTTCCCTTTTCACTTTCTCTTGCTTCCTAGGATTGCCTTTCCGCAAAAACCCACTTCAACTCAAATTCTTGTCCTAGGATCTGCTTTTGGAGGAGCTCAACCTAAGACATATCCAACATATCCACTTCCATTTCATCTCCTCTCATCACTCTCCAACCACTCCCACATGGGTTCTGTTCCATCACATCACAGAAAATCTCCATGTCAATGAATGCAAAGGGAATTTTCAACCCTTACTTAGTCTCTAAGCGACATTACACAAATTAATTGCATCCACCTTTTTGAAACATGCTGTTGACACCTTGACACTGTATACCATTGGTTTTCCTTTTACCTCTCTGCCTATTTCTGCCTAGTTTACCTTGCAGGCTCATCAATGTTGAGGTTCCTCAAGGCTTGATTCTGCAACTACTCTTCTTACTCTAAATTTTCTCTGATTTCATCTACTTCTTCATTTTCAGTTACCACTCATAAGGAAATGAGTCACACATTCATATCTTCAGCTCAAACCTTTGGTCTGCATTCCAGATTTGCATATCTAATTTTCTAGTTTATGTCTCTTCAATATCTTAAAGGCATCTCAAACTCAACATGATCCAAAAGAAAATACGATTTTTCCACCAACACCCTGTACCATACTATTGGTTTCTATTTCTGGGAAGTTAACAGTATCCATTCAGCTTTGAAAAGCTGAAACCTAGTAATCATTCTCAATTCATCCCTCTTTTTCATCATCATCCCACAACATGTCTAATCCATTATTAATTCAATCCTTTTGATTTTACCACCTAAATATTTTTGAAACCATTGACTTCTGTCTCTTACCATCTTCTGAACGTCTGCAAACACCTCCTAACTTGCTTGCCCACTTGCCCTGTACCACTGTCTGTGATTCATTATCAACAGTACAGTCAAAGTGGTATAATTATTTCCACCCTCATCCCCATCTTCAGATTTAAAACACTTTAAAGACTTTTCATTACTTATCAAGTAGACACGAGATCCTTAATCTACCCCCACAAGATTGTGCCCATCTGGCCTCTACCTGTTTCTTCAGCCTCATCTTTTCCTAGACTTTCCCTTCATCTCCCTGGTCTGGCCATAGTGACTTTTCTTGTGCTCCTTCATACATAGTCCTTAACATGGGGTCCTTGTATATACTGTTTTCTCTTCTTAAAACACTTCCCTTCCCCCTTCATTTGTTCCATACTTACTAATTTTTCAGATCTTAGATGAATTGCTACTTCCTTAGGGATGTTTTCATTCACCTATATGACCAGGCTAAATCCTAATATAAGTTTTCATCACACTACATATCTGTCTTAAATTACAATTATTACAGCTGAGATTCACAGTTATTTGTTCAATAAATGAATAACTGCATTGAATGAGTGAATGAAGAAAAGTTATAATCCCAAAACTAAAGTAATCTTATTTTCTTCTGTTATGGGCTGAATTGTGCCCCTCTCCCCAATTCATGAAGCCTTAACCTCCAGTACCTCAGAATATGACTGTATTAGAAGATAGCGTCTTTAAAGAGGTAATTAAGTTAAAATGGGGTCATTCAGTCATTACTTGATATGACTGACTGGTACTCTTTTTTTTTTTTTTTTTTTTGACAGTGTCTCACTCTGTCACCCAGGCTGGAGTGTAGTGGTGCCATCACTCCTCACTGCAGTGCACCCTCAACTTTCCAGGCTCAAGTGATCCTCCTGCCTCAGCCTCCTGAGTAGCTGAGACTATAGGAGCGCACCACCACGCCCAGCTAATTTTTATATTTTTTGTAGAGATGGGGGTTCACCATGTTGCTTAGGCTGGCCTTGAGCTCCTGGACTCAAGCAGCACTTTCTTATAAGAAGAGAAGATTAGGACATAGAAAACACAGGCCGAGGGATGACACACAGACACAGACACATAGAGAACACAGCCATCTGCAAGCCTAAATGAGAGGCCTCAGAAAAAAACAGCCCTGCTAACACCTTCATCTTGGACTTCTGGCCTTCAGAACTGTGAAAAAATAAATTTATGTTGTTTAAGCCACCAAATCTGTGGTACTTTGTTATAGCATCCCTAGCAAACGGATACATCTCTTTTACCTCAATGGGTTGGTGTGCACTATCTTGGAATGCACCCAACACTATCTCATGCCTCAAAAACTCTTCTCACATACTTTGCCAAATACAGCTTCTGACTGCCAGGATGTTCCCATCTGCTCTAAAAGAAGCAGTATTCATCACTGTCCCATGTGTTCAGTGTGAAAGCCAATCTTTATAAATTGAGGGATGAAATAACCTTGGTGTTATGTGTAGTACCCTCACTATATGGATATGGATCAAAAGTATACGAAGGAAGTCTCTTCAGACAGTACTTTTTAAGGAAGCTGCCTTTAAGCCATTTGACACCTTTGTTGTTAGGGGAATGTACTGTTTCCCTCTCTTTTTTAAGAACAAACAATAATATTTCCTACAAATCTTGTGACCAAGAATCCTAATATTCCTACTTTATTTGTTTTGCTCAGAGCAAACACAACAACTGGTAAAATCTCGTGTTTGAAATTATAAGATAGATACTTTAAATGCAAAGATGGCATTGGTCAGGAGTAGGATATTATAGGGCTATTTGTTTATTTTTAGAGAATTAGAGATATTTTAGAGAATGTCGTGACTTATTAATTTGTGAATATGATAGTATTAATAGTAGGACAAGATTTCTCTTTGAGTATGTTGTATCATTTCTGTGAGAGATGCTATAAGTGGCTAATAGCCTAACTTTAAAGCTAGCCATCTTTTCAAATATAATTAATATTTCTCTGTGTTATTCTTAATGCTCCATTAACTAGTGCAGAGTAAGTGGTCCTACTGCCAAAAGCCTTTTTCATTAAATGGAAAATACATTTACTCACTCTGTGAATTAATTAAAGCCATATGGAATTTAGAGCAGAAAATTCTGACTTACACATTTTGTTTTAGAGAGATTTAGAAAATATAGAGCCATTTGTGCCCAACAGGACTCCCATATGCTTTCATATCTTAAAACAAAAATACAGAAACAAACGTTTCAACTTTTTCTCAACTATCACAATTTTCATGTGTATGATTACAGCAAGATTCCAAGTTGTATGTGATTAATAGCAATGAGATACACTGAACATCAAAACCTTTGGAAGGAGGGGGATTCTTTGATGGGTTTTCTCCTGATTCCATAAATCTCTAATATGTTAGAAGTTTGAATATGGGAATGAGGGCTGGCTTCATGGTTAGTTTAGATGATGGATGGTTATATTCCTGGCCTGAAAGAAATTGTGTGACTGCCCAATTCAATAGCTATGCAGGGCCAGATATGGTACCCACTCTGGGAATCCAAGGAAACAGAAATCTGTACTAAGTCTTTATCCACTAGAGGTACACAGTTGTGCAGTAGGGAGGCCCACACATGACCGATTGATTACTCCAGAATTTGCATGAAGATGTGACTGTGTGGCTTAGGTAATGGAAAACATTGAGGACTTGTGTCTTCTGCGTATCTGTCCTTGCTCCTTAGCTCAGTAACTATTTATCAAACACCTACCATGGGCCAAGCAAACAGAGTAGCTGAGATGCCCCAACACATAATAATGTGACATACAGTGAGACGGCTCTGGCCCTTTCTCACTGCTTGTTCAAGGACGGCTACCTCCAAGGATTGATATTCATTTATGAACATCTTTTGAGGGAATTTGCTTATTTTTGTCACGTATCTCCAAAGGTACCATTCCCCATCTAACACAAAACATTTAAAACCCCCTTCATATCTTTTCCAAGGCCTAGGATATCAGTTCTCAAACTTGAGCATATATCAGGATTACTTGTTAAAACAGGACTTGTTAAAACAGATTGCTAAGCCCTAGCTTCAGAGTTTCCAATTCAGTAGGTCTGGGGTGCAACCCAAGAATTTACATTTTTAACAAGTTCCCAGGTGATGATAATGTTGATCTTGGAACCACACTTTTAGAACCCCTGGGCCATGACACAGCCATCCCCAAGCAGTCAGAATCCCCATTGTTCTTACCTAAATACTACTCCAGGCCCTCTCAGCTCTTCTGTAGTGAAGACATCTCCCAAGTTTTTCACCACCCAAAATGCCCCACTTAAAAATGAAAAGAGAAGAATCACTGGAAGGAGAAAGCCCTCTATCATGATTTCATCACTAGTTGAAGTAATTGTACCTCCATCTTAATGATAGACAATTTATTGAACACTCGCTATGTGCTAGAACTCTGAATAACAACAGTTAACATATACTGAGTAGTTATCTGTGTGTTAAGCACTAGTAATAGTAATTTAAATATATTATTTCATTTGATCCTCACTATGACTTGTTTTATAGGTAAGGAAATGAAGGTATAGAGATGCTATAATTATCCCAGAGACATGTGACATATAGCTAGTAAACATAAAACCAAGAAATATAAATATAAAATATTTTGAACCATTAAGATATATTACCTTTCAACAAATGTATCTTTGTCTGTCTGTCTATATATCTATCTACCTAAATTTCACTTAATGTTCACAAAAACCTTAAAAAGTAGGCACTATTGGTCCCATTTGTGGCAAATGAAGCTCAGAGGCATTAATAAGTTGCCCACAAGGTCAGGGATATATGAGAACATAGCCTGGCTGACTCCTGAGCACTTGCTTCTGGCATATAGTGGGTTATACTTGCCTTAGTAGGCAGGAATGGCTATTGTCCTCCCAATACTCATTGTGTGTCCTTGACCTGGTTAGGGCTCCTCCCCAAAGTGGATGAAATGAACGGGGAAAGATGAGTATGGAGCCACTAGGGTTCATACCATCTGAATGACAATGTACTCTTGTCAAAGGATTAGAACAGTTCCTCCAACAGACAGATGGTTGGCCAAAATTTCCCCAAGTGCCAAGAATTTGGCAGCAGTTGTTGGGTGAGGGGCCATTTTGTCTTGGGATTTTGGTTCTAAAGTCTAAAATGATTGCTCTGCAGGGACTAACTGGCCCACACTCGGGCTCATCAAGATGCAGGGAATTCCTGAGACCCCAGATTGTAACTTACAGCAAAATTAATTCCCCCTCATGCAGACTAAAGAACTCATTCCCCTAGCTGCTAAAAAAATTAATGACTGACAGATCACAGCTGAGTCTCCCTCCAGAAGTTGTTCTTGGCCGAGGAGAATCACTTCATCCGAGGTTATGTTTCCTTGGGTAGCAGGGGGACATCCCCTATCCAATGAATGGTTGATGCAGGGGCATAAAGATATTCCTAGTTGCAATTCAGGATATCTATGCAAAGCCATCCCAGCTCCAGAGATCCTAGGGTGACCACCCTGGGATCCTCTTGTGACTGTCTGAGGCCCAGCTTCTTCCACCCAGCCTGATTCCTTCCCTTCCCTCACAGATGTTGATTCCAAGACCATATCCCAATAGAGTTCCTATGTGGTAATCCCCATCTCAGAATCTGCTTTTCAGACTTTCCCTAATATCTGAGACACCAGTTTTTAGGGGAAATGCTAGAGGGTACTGTCACCTCCCATAATTACTTCTCTTTCCCTCACCTACTTAACGACTCATAGAGAGGGTCTGGAGAAATGGTATCAAAGATGATAGACAAAATAAAGCTGACTGAGATCACAGCCAGCATACTAGATTTACTCAGAAGCTCCAGTAGTTTAAATACATTTGTCAGAGATGCAGCCACAATATCTGAGACAGAGTGGAGTAAAGCTGACTTGTGCTATAATGAATACTTCTCATTTTAATTTGTGGGAAAAGTTGTTTGTATTGAAAGAAATTCTTTAAAACTCTCTACAACAGCGTCTAGTTGTTTTTTCTCCTTTTCTCTCTCCCCTCCCTGCCTTTCTCCCTTCCTTCCTTCTTTCTTTTCTCACTTGTTTACTTGCCTGCTCACTTGCTCTCTTGCTTTTGTCAGAGCTTCTGCCTTCACCAGAACTTTTAGCTAATAAAAATGTTTGCCAAGCCGACTCCCAGAAGTCGGATGCAACATTATTGAATTCTAAATTTTATATAACATGGGCTGTAATCAAGGTGGGGATCCTTACAGAAAAGTTATTAGCTTTGGGGATAGAAAGCTCAACAGAAGCATAATAATTAAATTGGCTCCCTGTTTTTATTTTATTGAGAACACTAAGCTATATTGATCTTCTTTCAAACCAGATGGTGATTCATGCAGCCCCTTGCAGATATTTTCTGAAGCGCTAATAGTAAAAGAAATAAACTTGACAATTCTACTCCAATGCACTAAGAGATATTAGAAAATTCCAACACTTAGAACTTCAAAGTGTCTGGCTTGGGGTTCTAAATGCCTTCAAGTGGGAGGACTCAACTGGGAGATCTAGTTCTTTATCTGGTGGTTCTCCCAACATGGAGAAAATCTAAGAAGAGAACAAGATGAGTATAGAGTGTCAGTTTTGCAAGATGAAAAGGTTCCAGAGATCTATTTTGCAATAATGTAAATATAGTTAACCCTACCAAACTGTACACTTAAAATGGTCTAAAGGATAACTTTTATATTTTGTTTTACACCAAAATTAAAAATAAAATAATTTTTAAAATATATAAACAACAGAAATTTATTGCTCACAGTTTTGGAGGCTGGGAAGTCCACAAATCAAGGTACCACCAGTCCTCTGGTGAGAACTCACTCTCTGCTTCAAAGATGGCATCATCTAGCTGTGTCTTCACACGGTGGAAGGGAAATACTAAAATAATTTTTTTAAAAACAGTGAGAGGCCAGGAGCAGTGGCTCACGCCTGCAATCCCAGAACTTTGGGAGGTTGAGGTGGGCAGATTGCTTGAGGCTAGGAATTCAAGACCAGCCTGGGCAACATGGTGAAATCCCATCTCTACCAAACATACAAAAAATTAGCTGGGTGTAGTGGCGCATGCCTATAGTCCCAGCTACTTGGGAGGCTGAAGTGGGAGGATCACCTGAGCCCAGGATGTCAAGGCTGCAGTGGCTGAGATTACACCACTGCATTCCATCCTGGGTGATAGGAGTGAGACCCTGTCATGGTTAAAACAAACAAACAAACAAACAAACAAACAAAAAAACTCAGGGGCAGGCATAATACAGTAAATGACCTACTTAATGCTTTTGCTTGAAGCTCAGACCTGATCCTAGCAGGAGTCCTGTTTAGAAACCTCTGAGTCCTGAATAACTCCCTACTTTCTCTAGATGTTTCTCCTAGACCCACTCTTCTGCCCAATTTTCTTATCTTCTAAACTTGATTCGCAAGCCTGTACCTCAACTGTTCTTGTTCAGTTTTCATCTCCCAGGACCACCTTCTCCCTCTGCACTCTATCGAATGTGTCCCCTCAATATTGAATGGCCTCCTCATGATCTGACATTTACTTTGCATTGGATCTCCTTATAGAGGTGTCCATTTGTATACTGAGCCAGGAGCTACCAGCAGCTCATGCTTCGTGGTTTCCAGCCTCCTGATCTTTCAGAAGGGGGGTTTCTGCCTGAAATACCCCACCCCCACACTCAGGAAGTTAGAAACACCCTCTATTTTGCTCACACACCCCCATTTGGCCCCTGGCCGTGTTGTCTTATAATTGTCTATTTATATTTTATCTGTTTACATTTCTGTTTCTGTAGCCAATATGAGACTGTGAGCAATTTGAGGGCTATAATTGGTGTATAGCTGACTAGAAAGCTATTTTATTTTTGTTTCTATGATAAGATAGAGGGCTTCTTTTTAATTTCACAGATTTTGATAATCCTGATAAAAGTGAGTTGATTCTGAGAATGAATTTGGCTAGAGAAAGGAATATTTCATTATTGAGCACATATGAATTGTAGAAGACATTGTTCTGATTGTATATTTCATAAAAGTATAAAACTTATTAGATAATTGCCATAATATAATTTTATTGATTGTCTCCAAGAGAAAAAAAAGTACAATAGTCTTTCAGTATTTACCTACTATGGAATATTGTTTTTTAAAAAAATAAAAGTCGGCCGGGTGCAGTGGCTCACGCCTGTAATCCCAGCACTTTGGTAGGCCGAGGCAGGCGGATCACGAGGTCAGGAAATCGAGACCATCCTGGTTAACACGGTGAAACCCCGTCTCTACTACAAATACAAAAAAATTAGCCGGGTGTGGTGGTGGGCGCCTGTAGTCCCAGCCACTCAGGAGGCTGAGACAGGAGAATGGCGTGAACCCGGGAGTCGGAGCTGGCAGTGAGCCGAGATAGCGCCACTGCACTCCAGCCTGGGCGACAGAGCGAGACTCTGTCTCAAAATAATAATAAGAGTAACAAATAAATGAATAAATAAATAAAAGTCTTAGTGTTAGTATAAATAAATGGGCTGTGGCATAAAATTATTTCTTTTCCTGTCAACATGCTTTATTCAGTCTTTCTTAAATCTATGTCACTCTTACCAAATTTACATCTCAAAAAAAATCTATTTGCTGTCACCTTCTTTTAGCTAATTATTGACATGAAAGCTATTAATCCCAAAGAGATCTGGAGCCTAGGATTTCTAAAAATAGAGAATGAACTAGATAGAATGCAGAATTTGTTTTTTTATTTTTTAATCAAAGTTATATTTTTATGTGTAAAGTTATAATGCCAATATTATGCACATATAATGTTTTTACAAATTTATGTAAAACCAGATGGCCACCATATCATTTACTGCTTCCAGTGAAAACCATTTTCTCCTCTTATAGCTGATTTATTTTTATGTAACTATTCTGTTTCTCCAAATAACACATTTGTTTCAATAATTGCTACTTCTTGATATTTTATCTTAGGCATTATTAATTGACTTCCCACAGTGGCAAATGAGCAGTCACTATTCTCCCCTTTTTTCAATATTCTTATATCTTAATTCTAGTTAGACTATTATTGTTTACCTTATTATGGCTATGTAAATACTACTTATGGGTGAGTTTGTAGTAAAATATGATTACTTTTCCTTTCATAAATTTTTAATCCTCTTGTGATTGATAATTGCCTCATTTATTGCATGGGAATGCTAGTTTGCCACATACTTAGCATTAAACATTACTTAATTTCCATGCATTCTGGCAACTGCCTGAATCTCTTCTCAAGAGCCTCAGTCACATCAGGTGCTCTGTGATGTCCATTTTTCTTGTAAAACCTCTCCCAGTACTTTCTGATAAGTGCTACTCTGGATGAGCTGCCTCTGTGCCTGCTGCACTACTGGCATGCTGAAGAATATCTTTCCCTCACTACTATGCTGGTTCTCCTGAGTCCTGTATTAGGGGACTTCTTCACTGTAAAGCATACTTTGCATAGCTTCCTAATAAAGATTATAAAATGGTACATAAGTTTGGGAGACCTTTTTGTCTCCCCAGTTGACTGATAATTTGGTTGCATGTAGAATTCTAGGTTTTAAAATCATTTTTAAAATGTTTTTTAAATTGACAAATGACACTGTATGTTTTTGTGTACAACAAGATGTTTTGAAGTATATATGCACTGTGAGATGGTTAACTTCAGCTAATTAACAAATGCACTACTTCATTTAGATATCTATTTTGTGGTAAGATCACATAACATCTATTTTTTACATTTTTAAGACTATAATATGTCATTCTTAACTATAATCACCTTGCTGTATCATAGCACTCTTGAAATTTACTTATCCTATCTAACTATAATTATGTGTCCTTTGATCAAGATTTTATCATCCTTCCCTTTCCAATCATCCCAGCCTCTGGTAACTACCATTTCTACTATCTAGTCCTGAGGTTGAATTTTTTTAGATTCCACATATGTGTGGGATCTTGTGGTATTTGTTATTCTGTGCCTGGCTTGTTTCATTTAACATGTTCTTCAAGCTTACTCATGTTGCTGCAAATGACAGGATTTCATTCTTTTTAATGGCTGCACATTATTCCACTATGTATATATAGCACGTTTTCCTTGTCCATTCATCCACTGAGGAACACAGGTTGATTTCATATCTTGGATATTGTGATAGTGCTGCAATAAACATGAGAATGGAGATATCTCTTTGATATTACTGATTTCATTTCCTTTGGCTATATACCCAGTAGTGGGATAGCTGAATCATATGGTAGTTTTATTTTTAATTTTTTGAGAAACCTCCATGCTGTTTTCCATAATGGCTGTAATAATTTACATTCTCATCAACAGTGTATATTTGTTTGGGTTCTTTATATATTTTAAATATTAATCCCTTATCGGATATATAGTTTGCAAATATTTTCTCCCATTCTGTAGGTTGTGTCTTCACTCTGTTGATTATTTCCTTTGTTGTGCAAATCTGATGTTTCTTTGTTGATTTTTTGCTGCAACTAGGATGTTGATGTCCCCTACTACTTTTGTATTGCAGTCTTATCTCTGCCTTGATATCTATTATTTGCTTTATATATTTAAGTGGTTCAATATTTGGTGCATATATAATTGCAATTGTTATATCCTCTCACTGAATCAACCCCTTTCTCATTATATCGTGACATTTTTTGTCTCTTTTTAAATTTTTGACTTGAAAGTCTATTTTATCTGCTATAAGTATAATTAATTCTGCTCTCTTTTGGTTTCTGCTGGCATGGTGTATCTCTTTCCATCCCTTCACTTTCAGCCTATGTGTTTTCTTACAGGTGAAGTGAGTCTTCTGTAGGCGGCACACAGCTGGGTCTTTTTTTTTTTTTTTTAATCCATTTGGCCACTCTATGTCTTTTAATTGGAGAAATTAACCCATTTACATTCAAGGTAATTACTGATAGGTAAGGTCTTACTATTGCCATCTTGTTACTTGTTCTCTAGTTGTTTTCTAGATCCTTTCTTCCTTTCTTCCTCTATTACTGTCTTCTTTTGTGGTTGAGTGATTTTTCTCTAGCAGTATATTTTGATTCCTTGATTTTTATTTTTAGTGTATCTTTCACAGGTTTTTGTTTTGTGGCTACCTAAATTAGGCCTACATAAAACATCTTATAAGAGCTTATTTTAAACTGATAACCACCTAACTGATCAGAAACAAACAAACAAAAAACTCTACACTTTAACTCTACTTCCCATTACTATATTTTGAATTTTGGATGTCACAATTTACATATTTTATTGCCTTTCCTTTAACAAATTATTATAGTTATTATTTTTAATAGTTTTTTTATCTTCATACTAAAAATATAAGTGATTTATAACCACTGGTATATTATTAGAGTATTCTGAGTTTGACTGTGTACTTACTTTTACCAATGACTTTTATACCTTTAGCTGTTTTAATATCCTTTTCTTTGAATTTGAAGAACTCCCGTTATTTCTTATAAAACTGGTCTGGTGGTAATGAATTCTCTCAGCTTTTGTTCATCAAGGAAAGTAGTTATCTTTCCTTCATTTTGGAAGGATAGCTTTGCTGGGTACAATTTCCTTGGTTGACAATTTCTTTCCTATAGCACTTTGAATATATCATCCCACTCCCTCCTTGCCTATAAGCTTCTGCTGAGAAGGCTGTTGCTAGGTGTGTTAGAATTCCCTTATATGTTACTTGCTTCTTTTTTCTTTCTGCTTTCAGAATCCTTTCTTTGTCTTGATTTTTCACCATTCAATTATAATATGTTCTGTAGTACTTTTATTTGGATTGAATCTGATTGATGACTTTTGACCTTCCTGTACCTGGATATTTATATATTTCTCCAGGTTTGAAATTTTTTTTGCTATTATTTCTTTAAATATGCTTCCTGCCCCTTTGTTATTCTCTACCCCCTTTTGAATTCCAATGACCTGAATATTTGTTCGTCTGATGCTGTCTCACAAATCACATAAGCTTTCTTTGTTCCTTTCTATTCTTTTTGCTATTTTCTTTTCTGACTATAGGTTTTCAAATAGCCTGTCTTAATAGTACACTGATTCTTTCTTCTGCTCAATCAATTCTGCATTGATAGTCTCTATTGCGTTTTTCATTTCTTTCACTGTATTTTTCACCTTCAGGACTTCTGGGGTTTTTATTATTTCAATCTCTCTGTTAAATGTCTCTAATAAAATTCTGAATTGTTTCTCTGTATTTTCTTGAAATTCGCTGAGCTTTTTAAAAACAGCTATTTTGAATTATTTGTTTGGGAGATCATTCATCTTCATCTCTTTGGGGCCAATCACCAGCATCTTATTTTGTCTGCTTGCTGAGGTTATATTTCCCTGAGTATTCTTGTTTCTTTCACTCATGCACTGATGTCCGTATCTTAAAAGATTAGGTATTTATTTTAGTTGTCACAGTTTGGCTTTGTGACCATCCTTCTACATTAGGTATGTCCAGAAATTCTGAGCAGACTGACTGTTGGTCCTTAGGCCCATGACAGCTGCAGTTGTTTCAGCACCAGAGAGTGCCTTAAGCCCAGGTTCACTGAAAGTCACATGAGGACTCTGAGGCTGGCATAATGCCTTACCTGAAACTGCTGAGGGAAGACTCAAGGAGGATACCTGGGATACTGGTAAAAGCTGTCTAGGGGCTTGAGCCCAAGAGCCTCATGGACCATGCCTCCTGCTGTATGGCACTGCTGAGTGGCCTCTCTAGTATGGTGCTTGTCCTGGCCATAATGAAGAGCAACCAGAGTCCTGCACTGGCCACTGTGAACCCCACCCCTATTCTTTGTCTCTAGCTGACCTCAGATGGCTTAACCATGCTGGCATTCACAGTACTTTCTGTGGAATGAAACAGAAGTGAGCCTCCTGCATATAGTCTCAGAATGTTGGGGAAGCCAAAAGTCTACCTTCAACTCACTTTTTCCACTATTGAAATCATGAGTCCAGGGGAATTCTCCATGTGTAACGCTGTGCTTGCTTGGGGGAAGGACATCATAGTCAAACAGAATCATTCTCCTTACCATCTGATCATGGTTCTTCTCAGTTCTGCAGTTCAAGGGACCATCACAGTCTCACTCCTAAGTTCTGAGATATTTCGGGTGGTAATCTTGCTTCTGGATAATCTTGCTAGTTGTGATTCTGTGGAGGAGAGTGAGTCCAGATAACACCTACTCTGCCATTTTGCTGATGTCACTCCTTGGAAATCATTTTTAAAGCATTATTCCATTGTCTTCTAGCTTACAGTAATGCTATTGAGAAGTGTTAAATTATTTTAATTCCTGATTATTAGTATGTGACATGCTCATTCTCTCTCCCTCTCTCCCTCCGTCTCTCCCTCCCTCAATCAATTTGTATTTGTATATAGGATCTTTTTATACCCATAATCCTGAATTTCTTGTTGAAGAGTCCTTGTATGTTTATTTAATCTATTTTCCTATTTGCTCTGTGAGAGATTTTTTTCCAATTTGGAAACACATATCCTATGATTCTGAACACTTTCTTGAATTGTTTTATTGGTGATTTTTGCCTTTCTGTTCTTTTCTGTCTTTTTACAACTCCTATAATTTGGATTGTGGACCTGCTGGGCTGGTCCTTTAGTTTTCTTTGCTGTCTTATTTTTATATCTCTTTTGAAAAAAGTTACTTCCTGGAAGAGTTCTTGAAATCTATCCCTCAATACAATTATTGAGGTTTTCATTCATGTTATAATTTTTTTAGTTTTTAAGGGTGTATTTATCTTCTGAATGTTCCTTTTTATAATATCATGTTCTCCTTTTATGTTTGTAGTATCTTCTTTGATGATATTAGTGATAGATTTTAAGGGTTTTTTGTACTATCCCTGCATAGTCACTATAATCTCTAACTTGCTTTTCTTTTTTTTTTTTACCTTGTTTACATCTACTTTATTTTTTATTATATATATATATATTTTATTATACTTTAAGTTCTAGGGTACATGTGAACAACGTGCAGGTTTGTTACATATGTATACATGTGCCATGTTGGTGTGCTGCACCCATTAACTCGTCATTTACATTAGGTATATCTGCTAATGCTATCCCTCCCCCCTCCCCCCACCCCACAACAGGCCCCGGTGTGTGATGTTCCCCTTCCTGTGTCCAAGTTCAATTGTTCAATTCCCACCTATGTGTGAGAGCATGCAGTGTTTGGTTTTTTGTCCTTGCGATGTTTGCTGAGAATGATGGTTTCCAATTTCATCCATGTCCCTACAAAGGACATGAACTCATCATTTTTTACGGCTGCATAGTATTCCATGGTGTATATGTGCCACATTTTCTTAATCCAGTCTAACTTGCTTTTCTTCTGGTAGGTTGTTTTTGGTATCAATATTGTTTATTATATGCTTTCCTCAGATGCCTGGTAATACTTGGTGTCTGCTTATATTTAAGAATGTGGGATTAAATATATAACTGGAAGCTCTGTCCAATCAGAGTCTCTCATCCCCCTGGATGAATTATTAATTCAGGCATGAGCATATTATTCTGAGCCAGATTAATAAGTATCCTTCTTAGATGATGGGGAAAACTACTTCTCATTCCTGAGATGATTACTAAGCTAACAGAACATGAGTCTCAACTTTCTGGTGTCATCTTGGCCTATACATGTAAAGAGCTTTCAAGAGATTGAGAAATATACAGAATATAGATGACAACACTTGAAGTCCTGGATTTCATTAAATACAACCCTAACTTCTTCATAACCTCACCTACTGTACCTTCTGTTTATTTGGGGGTTTATCTTCTTAAATTATTTTGAGTTGGGTTCTTGTGACTTTTAACTGAAAGATTTTTGACAGATAAAACATATCCCACAACATTTCTGTGCCTTCCTAAAAATAATGTAATTTATGCCACCTGCAATAGCAAAAGGTCATCAATTATTCATCATTTTCATTTCAGCTTTCTCCTAAAGGCTCATATACCCTGTGAGTTCCAGTGTGTCATCCAGTGTCCGATATAGCAACAGTGAGAATGTATGATATGGAAACTGACATAAAAATATCATCTGCAAGTAACAGTGATAAATTCACATTTTCTTTGAGGGCCATCTCCTTTTCCTCAAAGATCTCATTCAGTTCTGGGCTTATTTCAATGGGGAGAAATTGTGCCAAAGATTGTTCTCCAATTTTTTATTTTTTCACTCTGGCTGATTTACTCTTGAGAGTGTATATGTTAATGCCCCTTTCTTAGAATTTTACTGTACTTAGTTTGTTTGTAATAACAGTGTGAACATCCCTTATTCATAATGTTCTTATTTCCCAGATGCAACTATTCTTGATCTTGAGTATATTTACATAACCACTTTAAAACTTATACTTCTTACACAATTTCCAGTTACTCTTTTAGCAGGTGGGAAATAACTTCTCAATTTGAGAGGCATGTCTATTATTTAGAAAATTCTGGTTTAGATTCCTCTACAATAAATGAGAATTTTAAATACCATAATGATTTTCACTTTTTTTCTTGAGCCATGTCTGAATGTAAAATATTCTTTAGCTTTCCAGTGCTTCTAAAGATAGCTTTCTCTTAAACTTCAAATTCCTGCAAAATCAGGTTGCTTGCAAAGCAGCTGAAAGTCTGTGCCTCACACTCTGTATCCCCACAGGGCTTGATGTATTTTCTGTGTCCATAAAAAGGGGCTGCAGAATAATGACTAATTTTACTTGGAAACAGTTTTGCCCATCAAAAATACTTTTAAAGATTTGTGTAATCAATATGCCTGATTTTGAAAATGGAAAAATGGTGTTTATCATATTTATTAGCCAGCAACCTCACACATGAGCTTCTGGGCATGCTTACAAAATCCAAAGGCTGGAGAAAAAGAGACCATCATTCACTGAGGTGCACATTCTCCAGTAAGTGTCATAAAATAAGAAATATGCTCTTATTTCAAAGCCAATAAATAAGGCTTTGGAAATAGGGCCAGAATTTTAAAATAAGGGATGAGCATCACCAAAAAGAGGCAAAGCATTTGGAGGCCTCAGAGAGAAGAACCAGACATCCTCCAAACATCACCTTCTGATGGCTAAGACCCCAAGAGGATTTTTCAATCCCTGACTGCCTTCCCTCCTATTCCCCTCTTTTATTTCTGTGGGATCTATGACCTTGTTCCACCTATTTTCTTTTTTTTTTTTTTACCTTTTATCACATTTTCCATTTTGAAGATTTCTATTATTTATACTCTCCCAAAATACAGCTCTGTGGCTAAACATATTTTGATTATTATTTTTTTCCTTGAGTTTTGTGTGATTTAAAAATATCTATTAATTTATAGTCATTTTATCTAGAGGCAAGCCCAGAATGCATCCTAATTTAAGGACAGCTTGCTAATATCACTACAGGGAAACAGATAAAAAATGATACATGGCTGCATAGTCTTCCATGGTGTATATGTGCCACATTTTCTTAATCCAGTCTATCATTGTTGGACATTTGGGTTGGTTCCAAGTCTTTGCTATTGTGAATAGTGCCGCAATAAACATACATGTGCATGTGTCTTTATAGCAGCATGATTTATAGTCCTTTGGGTATATACCCAGTAATGGGATGGCTGGGTCAAATGGTATTTCTAGTTCTAGATCCCTGAGGAATTGCCACACTGACTTCCACAATGGTTGAACTAGTTGACAGTCCCACCAACAGTGTAAAAGCGTTCCTATTTCTCCACATCCTCTCCAGCACCTGTTGTTTCCTGACTTTTTAATGATCGCCATTCTAACTGGTGTGAGATGGTATCTCATTGTGGTTTTGATTTGCATTTCTCTAATGGCCAGTGATGGTGAGCATTTTTTCATGTGTTTTTTGGCTGCATAAATGTCTTCTTTTGAGAAGTGTCTGTTCATGTCCTTCGCCCACTTTTTGATGGGGTTGTTTGTTTTTTTTCTTGTAAATTTGTTTGAGTTCATTGTAGATTCTGGATATTAGCCCTTTGTCAGATGAGTAGGTTGCGAAAATTTTCTCCCATTTTGTAGGTTGCCTGTTCACTCCGATGGTAGTTTCTTTTGCTGTGCAGAAGCTCTTTAGTTTAATTAGATCCCATTTGTCTATTTTGGCTTTTGTTGCCATTGCTTTTGGTGTTTTAGACATGAAGTCCTTGCCCATGCCTATGTCCTGAATGGTAGTGCCTAGGTTTTCTTCTAGGGTTTTTATGGTTTTAGGTCTCACATTTAAGTCTTTAATCCATCTTGAATTAATTTTTATATAAGGTGTAAGGAAGGGATCCAGTTTCAGCTTTCTACGTATGGCTAGCCAGTTTTCCCAACACCATTTATTAAATAGGGAATCCTTTCCCCATTGCTTGTTTTTCTCAGGTTTGTCAAAGATCAGATAGTTGTAGATACGCAGCGTTATTTCTGAGGGCTCTGTTCTGTTCCATTGATCTATATCTCTGTTTTGGTACCAGTACCATGCTGTTTTGGTTACTGTAGCCTTGTAGTATAGTTTGAAGTCAGGTAGCGTGATGCCTCCAGCTTTGTTCATGTCCTTTGTAGGGACATGGATGAAATTGGAAATCATCATTCTCAGTAAACTATCGCAAGAACAAAAAACCAAACACCGCATATTCTCACTCATAGGTGGGAATTGAACAAGGAGAACACATGGACACAGGAAGGGGAACATCACACTCTGGGGACTGTTGTGGGGTGGGGGAAGGGGGGAGGGATAGCCTTGGGAGATATACCTAATGCTAGATGACGAGTTAGTGGGTGCAGCGCACCAGCATGTCACATGTATACATATGTAACTAACCTGCACATTGTGCACATGTACCCTAAAACTTAAAGTATAATAATAAAAAAAATGAAATTAGGCAGACACACACACACACACACACACACACACACACACACACAAAAGATACATGGGCACATACATAGATTTAAAAATTGAGACAAACTCCAGTCTAAATACTTCCATTACCTCTTCTCTCCAGGATTCTAGAAAGTATCTACCTCCATCCTCTACATATCCAGAAGATACAACAATAAGCCATTTCTTTAAAACCCTCACTTTCTTCTTCTTCCTTCAGGTAGTATAAAGATTGTTATAGAGTGTGATCTATAAAGCAATGTGATATTTTCTATCTTTAGGAGATGAAATGTCCATGCAATCTGGTTGTGCAAAAGAAACAGATCCGTCTATACCCATGTCATTGTCCTAATTTTTCCTAATGACCTAAAGGCAGAGGGTTGCTGGTTACCCTGATCATAAGGCTGCAATTCTAAAAATGTATTTTTTTCTGAAATAACGGTGCGGTGGATAATAAAAGTGATAGCCTTGGAATCAAGAGCTGATGCTTCTAGATGTGTAAAATATAGACAGTTAGATTAGATCATGTTAAGGTCTTTTCCAGCTGTAAAACATTTTATGCTGTATGTCAGTATGACTAATATCCTTTTGGAAGCACTTTCTCTCCTACTGTTCTTTTTGTTTTCCAAAAACTATCTTATTTTGTGAAAGACCTTTGTGAAACTCTCACATTGTAGAATATGGTAAGTCTATCCCCTTCAATCCCTCCATTATACCTCTCTCCTTCTAAGGACAGTGGGAATGTTAAATCAACTAAACCCTGTAATTCTAAGCTCTCTTGACTTAATATGATTACATGGGGTTAAGAACTCTGAACAGCTATACAGACACTCTCTCATCTTGTTTTTCCAAGAGGATTTTGTTCTTGACCTTCAAGAGTTGAAATAATTCAACAATAAAATATTGAGGATTTTGTAGTAACTGTTTCTCTATACCACAAACAGTTTTCCTTGGCACAGCGCTTTCATCAGAGAAATTTCCAATGTAATGGTGAGCATCCTTACAGATAAGCATTTTGACTTTCACTCTGGGACAGTGTATGGGGAGACATGAGCTGGATTTATGCTTCAATATTATTAGATAAGCTTCTGCCAAACATTTTTTTCTTGAGGTTAGAACCATTCTAACACAAGCACTTGAGTTTTATTCATCTCTGAAGTCACTTCCATAACTGGTTTATTGAGAAGAAGAGTATAAATATGACTCGATTTATTCTTTCTCCCATCACTACTTTCAACCATGTGCTGTCATATCTCTCTTCCCTGGCAAATAGTGAATCACTTAATGGATATCCTGAAAGATGCCATTAATTTCTGGTGGCTTTCAGTTACTTCAAGAGCAGTCCAGGTTAAAGCTTTAATCTCAGATTCGATTTATAACTTACCTTGTCACTGCCCCCAAAACAAGCTTAAACTGAGACAACTTAAGCTATTGGAGAGGAGCTTAATCAGCTGTGAGACATGGTTTTTTAAAATTCCACTTCTAGGACTACTGACAGAGGCATAGAGGAGAGATAGGGGAAAAAACAAGTGCCTCTTTATTTAAAGTGGTTATTTTCATCCCCTTTGGCTATCATAGTGTTGCTGGCTAACACTGTCTCATTGTTGATACCCATATGGCCGCCATCCAAATGAGCCAAATGCTGGATTTCTGGTGGAGTGAGGGTTTGAGGGTATAAGCTTTTGGAGATGGGGTACTTCAGGGGTTTTTTTCTTCTGTCCACAACTCTGAAGAGGCTGAGAGTTTCAGTAACAGCCCTTTCTAACTTCCCCTCAGCTGCTAGAGTTTTTTGTTCTTGGGGATACCTGGAATGATGGGAAGCTATCTTGGGTAGCATTGCATCAGGATGAATCAAATCCATTCGCTATACTATTATGGTTCCCCACAAGCAAGCTCTTAAATAAGAAATGCCAGAAAAGGAGTAGGGAAGACCGACAGTGAAGGGAAGACAGCTTTAATAGTGAATTGGCAATCAAGTTACCCTTAGGGAAGTTAGACCTCAATTTACTGGGAATCTACAAAAGCCAGTATAGAATGTGTGTCTTAGAATTATCCTGCCCAAGGGGTAAGGAAACTGAATATTATATAGAAATCTCTGTCAGTCATTGGTTTAGGGTTACTCTCAGGGATGTAAATTTCCCAGCATTTCTGGCTTGCATCAGCATGGGCAGGTTGGACTCCCATGGCAATAAAAAGCTCTTGTTCAAAAAGACACAGATGCTCAAAGTTGGAAGGCCCATCAATTGAGCCAATCTTCAAATCCCACAATCAAGGGTGTACAGTTTCCAGGGCCACTCTGTTTCAGGCTGTAGATCTGAGTAGCTGCAGAGTGGCTGGAGTAGCTCTGTAACACAGGCCTCACTCCCCAGCTCAGGGACAGTAGCTATGTGGCCACATTTTCCTCATGGCAGGCATTAGAGATTCCCAGAGGGGTGGAGGGAAGCACTAAAGATCTCTTAAGGTTTAGCCTTTGAACTAATTCTCTGTCACTTCTGCCTACTCATCATTGGCCAAATCCAACATCAATAAGGAGATGAGGAGAATACTATTTCTCCTATAGAAGTAGGGTAGGGGGCAGGGGAGGTGAATATTTGCTAAACAATAATCTAATCTACCACACATGGTCTCTGAGCATGAAAAAATTTAAGAGTACCAAAGTGAGTAGTAACAAATGTCCATAGAGAACACAAAAGTAGCTATTGCATTTGGTGGTTAAAGATGCCATTGATACCTTCAAGAGCATATTTTTACCAGAATAGAAAAGATCAAAATAAGATTTTTTGGTAGCTATTAGAAAAATTTAAATAGTATTCATTTATTTATAATGAATATTTATATTACATGTCTTATAATAATTAATGTATTAGTTGTAGTAAAATCTTAAAAAGTAGTAACTGAGACAGCTGATTTATGCACCTCTTTCTAAAAGCATAGCAAAGAGAAAAATGAGACAATTGGACGAGTCAGAGGAAAGAGTCAGTGAATGGCACAGAAAATATATGTTAACCTTTGATAGAAGAAAAGAAAAAACATTATGAAGAAAAAAAGAGGGGATTAATTGCAAAAGCAAATGTCCCGAGGAGGCTAGAATTCATTCTGGCAAAGAGATTTCTGAGGCTAAAAAGAAGAGAATGACAAATGTGGCAAGCAGAGTCAAAGAAATACATTTCTAAGGCCTTTTTGACAGAGTTCTAAGCTAATTATTCATTAAGATGCTGAAATTTATTTGCTGCTCCTTGTGTGCCAGGCACTGTGCTAAGTGCTATGAGGTGCCCTATTTCCTTATCCCCATGTTATTATACAATGAGGGAACTTGTCTCCAGCTACACAGTTGCTATGTGCAGGGAGTCAGGAATCAAACCTAGACCTCAGCTCTCATATTGTTCCCACCATGTTAACAGTCAGAAATCTACCATTTTACATTAAAGACACAAGGGCCTCATGGAGAAATTACTTATTCTAGGGCTACAGCAGGGAAGACAGGATGAGACAAGATGAGCCTGGAGCACTGTATAGTGCCAGAAAGCAAGGAAGTACTCAGAAAACAAAAGGATAAGGATGTGACAAAGAAACACAGGAGCTAACCTGAACATGCTCCCAGTGACCAAAACTGGGAAAATTTGAGTAAAAAAATAAAGTAGTATTGGATTATAACCCAAATTATAAAATAAATAGTCATGCATCCATATTGATATAATATTTAGATATCTCCTTCCAGGAGGTGGAGTTTAATTCCCCTCTATCCCTAGTATGAAGTAGTTTTAGGGAATCAAAGTAGTAACTTTATAGTGGAGAAAACCTGGCAGACAGCACCCTATCCACATTATTAAGGTTAACATTACCAATGATAAGTCATGTAGATATCATGTATCCCCTGATGTGATGTGATGTGGTGTGAAAGCTACTTCCCCTATGGTTTTCTTTCTCTAAAATCTATATCTCCGCTACAAATCATGAGAAAACATCAGACAAACCCAAATTGAGGATGATTTTACATAATACCTGACCAGTTGTCTTCAAAACTAACAAGATCAGGGAAAGTCTGAGAAAATGTCACAGACCAGTAATCCTATGAAACATGAAAACTAAATGCAATATGATAGAATGAATAGGACTCTGGAATACAAAAAGAGCTTTAGTGAAAAAATTGGTGAAATCCAAATAAAGTCTGCAGTTTAGTTAATAGTTTAAAAAAAAAGGGAAGGGAGTGCAATCTGAAGAAAAATGAAATGTAGCCATAGAATACTGTGTTATTGTTTATTACTCATCATTATAACAGCAACGATACTTTGATGGAGTATTCCATTCTTCTTCAAACTCTTTCCCATATGTCGCAGTGCTCCCAGATGTAAAGTAGCACAGATTTTATTGTCCTTATTTTACCATATCATTCAATACTCGCAATCTGCTGGGCACAGTCCATAATAGATTAGGTATAGTATCATATAACTCAAATAATCCTTACAACAACTCTATGAGGTAGTTACTATTTTATCCCATTTTCTAGAGGAGGATACTGAGGCACAGAGAGGTTAATTGATTTGCCCAAGTTAGCATAGCTAATATGAAGAAAAACCTGCCTATGAGCAGAGGTGGTTGGCTTTATGTCTTGCACATAACTACTAAGCTACAGTGCATTAAGTATTTGGGTTCAGAAAGGTTAAGTGATTGGCTCAAAGTCATAAAGTTGGTTGGTTCAGAACTGAGACTAGAACTGAGGGCTCCTGGTTCCCAGCCCAGTGCTTTCCCTCTATTTGCAGGTACCACCATCCACATATTTTTTTTTTCTTTTTCCAAAGCACAGTGAAATTCTTGGAATTTCAGAAGCCAATCTGAACATGTTCCCAGTGGCCAAAGCAGAAACAACTTGAGCAACAAAATAAATAAAGTAGTATCGAATTATAATCCAAAGTATGAAACAAATAGGCATGCATCCATAGCGATACAAAGAAATGATCAAATAAAACAATAAAATTGAGGAAATGCATTTCCAAATTTAGCAGCAATTATAACAACAGACATTTATGAAGGGCATTTTAATTTCCAAAGTTCTCTTACCCATGTGTTCTCCCCAGAGTCTCACAAAACCCAGTAAGTTTGGTTTTGTTATCTATCTTTTGTAAGTGAGGAAATTGAGATCACACTGAAGTTTACTCAGTTAGTTTAGGAAGAGCTGGGACACTATTATTTCATGTTTCCTTGAATTCTTAAAAAGAGAGAATTGTATAATGAAGTCACCAAAATGATGATGTAGAAGCAAGCTGGCTTTACTCCCCTCAACAGAAGATCAAAAACAAATACACAGCACTGAGAGCATCACCAGCAATATCCCAGAACTCAAATATGAGGATGGGAAAGTTCCTGGAGCCACAGAGAAATATTTTAAAAACTCCATGTGGCTGGTAAAAATAATTACACTTTTTATCTACAACACACTTCCTCCAAACTTTCAAGCACCAAGTGTGTGGAAAATTTTCCCCAAACTCATTGTTACTAACCTGGAAAAGTGGCGTTGTAGTGGACAGCCAGCTTTCCCACCACCTTCGGTTATCTAGCAGGAGAGGTCAGTCCCTGCCTCAACCTACTGGAAAAAGACGATTGTAGTAAGGCAAAATCCTGCCAACTTGTCAATAATCACTGCTTACCAAGTACTACATATTAATTGATTATTCTTAGATATACCACCTCCATCAAAATGACGACAAACCAAATTGAGTAGTTTAGAATGAGAATAGGAGATAAACAAGATCAAGACCAATAGTGGCCATTTTTTACAATTTCTACCCAGATTTCAGAAACAGGAAAATAAAACCAAATCATTGTAAGGCAAAAGTCTACTATAACATAGTGAGATAATAGATCAAATCTCTCAGAACTAAGTTTTTTTTATTAAATTCTAGTGCCCTATAAGGTACCTCATATAAAAATTGATATTTAGTACGCTGGTCATAGTGGCTCACGCCTGTAATCTCAGCACTTTGGGAGGCTGAGGTGGGAGGATTACTTGAAGCCAGGAGTTTGAGATCAGCCTGAGCAACACAGAAAGACCCAATCTCTATTTAAAAATCTTTAATTAAAAAATCAGTTTTTAGATTGGTATTTAGTAACTATTTTTAAAAATCAGGGCAGTAAGTGATGTAATGTTGGGGAGTGGGATGATTTTTAGACTCAGGCTCTAGCCTGTGGGATTTATTAGTTGAGATGTTTAATTGTAATGATAAAATCTTTATGAGGCTGTTGTTTAAAAGTGAGAACATTTATGTCCTTTGCATAATATACTGACATTCAATAATCTTTATATTTTTATTTATATTATTATTAAATGAATGTATTTTCCTGCTTTAGAGAATCTACAGATGCCTTCTTTTCCCTAGAATAGAAATGTCAACCTTGAGATTTGTTCTTTCTCCATACTTGTTGTCATCCCATGCTTTCAAAATTAATGTACCAAAGAATTACTTGTTTAATGCTCATAAAACCACTTCTTAGGCTATTTACTTGGAAATGAGTTCCATGGAGGGGAAAACATCAGGCAATAAGGCAGGAGGAGAATTTCCTCTATATATGATATTAAGGAAGTGTTACAAATATTGAACCAGCAGGTATTTCAGATGAAGTACATGCCTTTCAAATAATGACGAAATTCATGTGAAGCAGAAAGGTAGAGACAAGTCCAATTTGTTAAACAATCTTAAAATATAGAGGTATGAATAACACTTCAAACATATACAGCTTCTGCCTTCACACATGAAAGGAGTTTTATTCCAGTAACTATGGTTACCTTATATACTACTCAGATACTCATAAAGTGAAAGAGACGAGGGAAGAGTAAAGTTGAAATCTATTGAGACAAATAATGCAGAGACTGGTAACATAATGAAATTTCTGTTTGTTTTTAAGATTTAGATTTGCATGGACACTGATCTAGTTATTTCTGTATATGTCTTTAACCTGTATCAGGACTACACCTTGACCAGGTAGATAGTGGTGTTTTATAATCTAAAATAGCAAAACTTCTCATGGAAAAAGTACACTGACTGGTGGTGGGATAATGGGAATAATTGGAAGAGTAGGGCTGTAAAAGTAAGAGAAAAAATTTAATTAAGCATAGCATATAAATCTTATGAAGCAATACAAATCACATGTGTATAAAGAGGACACACAGTTATAATTAAGAATAGAAAAACAAATAAGGTACTCCCTTCCAGCATAAAGAAATAAGTGAATTCAAAAAGATGAATTGCATTACTGCATGGTTAATGAATCATTCACTGCAAGCCTGTGCATTTAGCTGGGACAGGGGTTCCAGGAATCTGGCAGTGGGATCTAAACTCATTGTTATCCTTGCTATGGTTTAATATCACCTGGTTTTACCAGAGCACCTGTTTATTCCAGCTAAAATATTGATGGAAATTATTCTGGGATCCATGGATGATTCTGAGAATCCTTCTGTTAGATGGTACTTCTTTTGTCAATTTAGGAAAGTTCATTCAAGAGAACACTCAGATTATACCTTCTACCTCTGCTTCCCAAGGTGGGATTCCTTCCTATTTTTGTAGAAAAGAAGAATTTTAAGAAAGGCCCTTAATATTATCTGAAATTTTCACTAATATTTCTTAGTCCATTAACCCTCCTACTCTCTACAATGTCTGTTTTTCATTTAAAAGGTATTGAGCTAAACCATTTATATATTAAAAGGGCAAAGAGTACAAGAAAACTTATAAATAAAAAGAATGATCCCATATAAGCATCCAGTGCTACTCCGTGATGGGATTCTTTGTTTCTATTTTCAGTTCTTCTAATGATGATCTTTGTAATTCTAAATAGTATTCTTGACTTATTAAGATAATTTTTATAAACATCTTCTATGAAATATGAGAATTAGCTCATTATATACTATCCTCCACCTATCTCCCATATACTATATCCAATGTTTGATAGTTATTATTCTAAGTTTTTTCTTGGTTACTTTCGTAACTTCAAATAATGTATTTATATTTCTATTTTTGCTCCATCAGAACTAAGATACTCTTTAGTTTGAATTTCAACCTTTATGTAAGATAACAATATTTTGCTCCTGAAAAGGGGAAAATGGCAACAGAAAACAAATGAAACAAATATAAAACAAATACATTTAATCTTTAACATAAAAATAATCACATTACATGTAAATGGTGTAAACATTCCAATTAAAAAACAGAAATTGTCAGATTGAATAAAAAATCAAGACGTAACTATATACTGTCTACAAGAAACTCACTTAATTTAAAAAAATATTTCCCAGTTTTATTGAAGTATAACTGATAAAGAATGTATATATTTGGATATACAATGTGATTATTTGACATATGTATACATTGTGAAATAATTACCACAGTCTAATTAACACATCCATTACTTCAAATAGTTACCAGTGTGTAGATGGGGAGGGGAGGTGAGGACACTTAAGATCTATTCTCTTAGCAAATTTCAAATATACAATACAGTATTATTAACTATAATTGCCATGCTGTACCTTAGATTCCCAGAACTTATTCCTCTTATACCTGAAAATTTGTACCCTTTGACCAAAATCTTCCCATTTTCCCTACTCCTCAGCCCCTGGCAACCACTGTTCTACTCTCTTCTTCTACAAGTTTAACATTTTTCGATCTCACACCTATTAGGATGACTATTACAAAAAAGACAATAGATAACAAGTGTTGGTGAAGATGTGGAGAAAAGGGAACTCTTGTACACTTTTGGTGGGCATGTAAATGGGTACCACCATTCTGGAAAACAGTAAGAGAATTCCTCAAAAACATCAAAAACAGAGCTACCATGTCATCCAGAAATTCACTTTGAATATAAAAATACACAAAAGTCAAAAGTATCTTTAGAAGTTTCTTTCTGAATCAGTCCCTCAAAAAAAAAAAAGAAAAAAATACCTGTAGAAGAATGAAAAAGATATATCATAATAACACTAATCAAAATAAATCTGAAGTGCCTATATTAATATCAGACAAAGTAGATTTCAGAGAAAAGCATATTATCAGGTATAAGCAGGCCAATTTCACGTGATAAAGGGATAAATGAATCAAGAGAACGTCATGGTTCTAAATGACTGTAGACCTAAAACAGAGCTTCAAGATATATGAAGCAGAAATTGATAGAACTCCAAGAAAAAATAAATACCCACAGTTACAGTAATAGATTTCAATATTTCTCTCTCAATAATTGATAGAACAAGACAGAAAATTCACAAGGATAGAGAGGACATAAGCAACATGATCAACCAATTTGACCTAATTGATATTTAAAGAACAAACCATCAAACAACAGCAAAAAAATGCACATGAAACATTTACCAAGATAGATTATATTCTGGGCCATGAAACAAGCAACAATAGATTTAAAAGGATTTAAATTGTACAAAGCATGTCATCTGACCACATTGGAATTAAATGAGAAATAAGTAAAGAAAGATATCTGGAAAATTATCCAAATATTTGGAAACTAAATTTATTAATTTGCTAGAGCTGCTGTAACAAAGTACCAGAAAATGGGTGGCTTAGACAACAGAAATTTATTGTCTCACAGTTCTGGAGGCTGGAAGTCCAAAATCAAGGTGTTAATAGGCTTGGTTCCTTTTGAGAGGTGTGAGGCAGAATCTGTCCTATGCCTCTATCCTAGTTTCTAGTGGTTTGCATTCCTTGGCCTATGGAAACATAACTCCAATATTCATATGGAATTCTCTGTGTAGGTGTGTGTCTGTGTCCAAATTTGCCTTTTTTATAAGAATATTATAAGGACACCAGTCATATTGAAGTAGGACCCACCTTAATGACCTAATTTAATGTGATTATCTGTAAAAGCTCTGTTTCCAAATAAGGTCACATTAATGCTGGAGGTTAGAATTTCAACATCTTTTGAGAGGAGGAATACAATCCAACTCATAACACTAAATAACACACTTCTAAACAACCTATAGGTCAAAGAAGAAATCCTTAAGAAGATATTTGGAACAAAATGAAAATGAAAGCACAAAACACCAATATTTGTGGGATGTGCTAAGAAAATACTTAAAGGGAAATTTTTAGCACTAAGCACTTATATTGGAAAAGAAGAAAAATCTCAGCTTCTACCTTAAACTAATAAAAGAAGAGCAAATAATCCCAATATAAGCAGAAGAAAGGAAATAATAAAGATAAGCAGAAAACAATGAAATATACAACAGAAAACAGAAATTCCAAAAGCTAGTTCCTTGAGAGCTAGCTAATAAAAGAAGAGCAAATAATCCCAAAACAAATGGAAAAAAGGAAATAGTAAAGATAAGCAGAAAATAATGAAATATACAACAGAAAACAAATGCCAAAGGCTAGTTCCTTGATAACATTATAAACCTCTAACCATACTAATCAGAAAAAAAGAGAGAAGACATAAATTACTAATATCAGGAATGAAAGATGACATTACTATGTAGCCTACAGAGATTAAAATGATAATAAGGGAATATTATAAACAACTTTGTGCCGATAAATTCTGTAACACAAATGAGAGGGGCAAATCTCTTGAAAAACACAAACTTACAAAGCCTACTCAAGAAGAGTTACGTATCCTTAAGAACGATACATCTATTACAGAAATTAAATTTTTTAAATCTTATGCTGGCCTAATTTTCATTCCTTTACAGTTATCCCATTGTTGTTGTTTTATTTTTCTTCTCTCTATAGAGAAAGAGGATTCCAGGATCCCTTCTTTATTCTTTGTAGTGGACATTTCTTTTTTCCTTCTCGCAATCTATTTCTCTTTCTACCCTTCAAACAATCTCATATTTCCGTTGGAAATCCATGGGTTTTAGTAGCATTTACTTTTCTCCAAGACACGTGGGTCAAACATATGAATTAGAACAAACCAGCCAGAACATTTCATCTTTCTGGCCATGTTATCTGTTTATGGGTAGGTGCATGACCTATGCCTGTTAAACCTGAATAAATCTCAGTGTTTTTCTGGAAACTCTGAAACACAAACTCTTTCTCATATGGACCCCATGGTATACAAATGTGAAGCCTTGAACTTTTCTTTCTTAACTTTTATTTTAAGTTCAGGGGTACATGTGCAAGATGTGCAGATTTGTTGCATAGGTAAACGTGTCATGGAGGGTTTGTTGTACAGATTATTTAATCACCCAGATACTAAGCCTAGTATCTGTTATTTTTCCTGAGCCTCTCCCTCTTCCCATCCTCCACCTACTGATAGTGTGTGTTGTTCTCCTCTGTGTGTCCCTGTGTTCTCATCATTTAGCTCATTTACTTTTACTTTACTTTTAAGTGTGAACATACAGTATTTGGTTTTCTGTTTCTGCGTTAGTTTGCTAAGGATAATGGCCTCCAACTCCATCCATGTCCCTGCAAAGGACATGATCTCATTCTTTTTTATGGCTTCATAGTATTCCATGGTGTATACGTACCACATTCCCTTTGTCCGTTCTATAATTGATGGGGATTTAGGTTGATTCCATGTCTTTGCTATTGTAAATAGTGCTGCAATGAACATATGTGTGCATGTGTCTTTATATTAGAACATTTATATTCCTTTGGATATATACCTAGTAATGAGATTGCTGAGTGGAATGGTATTTCTGCCTTTAGGTCTCTGAGGAATCACCACATTGTCTTCCACAATGGTTGAACTAATTTACACGCCCACCAACAGTGTATAAGTGTTCTTTCTTCACAACCACGCCATCATCTGTTATTTTTTGACTTTTTAGTAATAGCCATTCTGACTGGAGTGAGATGGTATCTGACTGTGGTTTTTATTTGCATTTCTCTAATGATCAGTGATGTTGAGCTTTTTAAATATGAATGTTAACCGCATGTATGTCTTTTGAGAAGTGTCTGGTCATGTCCTTTGCCCACTTTTTTAATAGGGATTTTTCTTGTAAATTTAAGTTCCTTATAGATGCTGGATATTAGACCTTTGTCAGATATATAGTTTGCAAACATTTTCTCCCATTCTGTAGGTTGTTTGTTCACTCTGATGATAGTTTCTTTTGCTGTGCAGAAGCTCTTTAGTTTAACTAGATCCAATTTATCAATTTTTGATTTTGTTGCAGTTGCTTTTGGCATCTTCACCATGAAATCTTTGCCCATGCCTAAGTCCTGAACGGTATTGCCTAGGTTGTCTTCCAGGGTTTTTACAGTTTGTGGTTTTACACTTAAGTTGTTAATCCATCTTGAGTTAATTTTTGTATATGGTGTAAGGAAGGGGTCCAGTTTCAATTTTCTGCATATGGCTAGCCAGTTATTCCAGCACCATTTATTGAATAGAGAATTCTTTCCCCATTGCTTGTTTTTGTCAGGTTTGTTGAAGATCAGATAGTTGTAGGTGAGCAGTCTTATTTCTGGGTTTTCTATTCTGTCCATTGGCCTGTGTGTCTTGTTCTTGTACCAGTACCGTGCTGTTTTGGCTACTGTAACCCTGTAGAATAATTTGAAGTCATGTAGCATGATGCCTCCAGCTTTTTTCTTTTTGCTTAGGATTGCCTTGGCTATTTGGTCTCTTTTTTGGTTCCATATGAATTTTAAAATAGTTTTCACTAGTTCTCTGAAGAGCATCAATGGTAGTTTAACAGGAAAAGCAAATTGCTTTGTGCAGTATGGCCATTTTAACGATATTGATTCTTCCTATCCATGAGCATGAAATGTTTTTCTATTTGTTTGTGTCATCTCTGATTTCTTTGAGCAGTGGTTTGTAGTTCTCCTTGTAGAGATCTTTCATCTTCCTTGTTAGCTGTATTCCTATGTATTTTATTTTTTTGTGGCAATTGTGAATGGGAGTTTGTTTGTGATTTGAAGCCTGGAACTTCTATTACCATTTTGCCACCATGGAGAAAGCCTGTATGGGAAGAATGCTGACTGTTGAAGGGAAGCCCTGAGAGAATGACCAAAAAATGAAGCCAGAGCCCTGCTCCAACTACACCTAAAGCATAATATTCAGTCAGGTGAGCTCTCTGTCTCCACCACACACCCAGCAGAAAATTTTTCCTTTAATTTCAAAGAGGAAATAAAAAGTATTGAATGAGGCTGGGCACGGTGGCTCATGCTTGTAGTCCCAGAACTTTGGGAGGCCGCGGCGGTCAGATCTCTTGAGGTCAGGGGTTGGAGACCAGCCTGGCCAACATGGCAAAACCCCGTCTCTACTACAAATACAAAAATTAGCCAGGTGTGGTGGCACACGCCTGTAATCCCAGCTACTTGGGAAGCTGAGGTGGTAGAATTGCTTGAACCCAGGAGGTGGAGGTTGCAGTGAGCTGGTGCTACTGCACTTCAGCCTGGGCAACAGAGAAAGACTCTGTCAAAAAAAAAAAAAAAAGAGACGGAGAGAGAGATAAAGAAAGAAATTATTGGACAGGAAATTAACTGACTGCCCATCACAAAATTTATAAACCAAATTTACAATGGCAAAATATCCCTTCCGCTCTAAGCCTCAAGTCTCCCCCATTATCCGGATTCCAGATTTCTCTTCATTTAGCATTCAAGCTTACTTATGCCCTGCCCAATTAAAAATTTCTCACTCTATCCGATTTTTGCATCAAATTGTTGCCCTGTTTTTCTTCTCTCTCTTCTTACCCAAATTTTTCAAAAGAATGCCCAATACTTAACATTTCCTCCTCTTCACTTTTATCTCACACTTTGCTTTCTGATTCAACATGTTCCACACGTTCAAAAGTGCTTTTACCAAGGTCATTGGTGACCTTCATGTTGCTAAGTCCAATGAACTTCTCAGACTCCTGACATTTCCCCACCTACCTTGGACATTATTGTCCTCTCTCTTTCTGAAAATATTCTCTTTCTTTGATTTATGTATACTATGCCCTCCTGGACACTCTTTTTGTTTTTTATTTTTCTGGGTACATAAGTGTAGGTATTTATGGGGTACATGAGATATTTGGATAAAGGCATACAGTGTGTAATAATTATATCAGAGTAAATGGGGTATCCATCACCACATTTATCCCTTGTGTTACAAAAAATCCAATATACTCTTTTAGTTATGTTTAAATGTATGATTAAATTATTACTGACTACAGTCACTCTGTTGTGCTACCAAATACTAGATCTTATTCATTCTTTCTAACTATTTTTTATACACATTAACCATCCCCACCTTCCTCACCCAACCACCCAGTACCCTTCCCAGCCTCTGGTAACCATCATCTTATGCTCTATCTCCATGAGTTCAATGCTTTTAAATTTTCAGCTCCCATCAATAAGTGAGAAGGTGCAAAGTCTGTCTTTCTGTGCCTGGCTTATTTCACTTAACATAATGTCTTCCAGTTCCATCCATGTTGTTGTCAATGACAGGATCTCACTTATTTATTTATTTATTTATTTATTTATTTATTTATTTATTTATTTTGAGATGGAGTCTTGCTCTGTCACCAGGCTGGAGTGCAGTGGCGCAATCTCAGATCACTGCAACCTCCACCTCCCGGATTCAAGCGATTCCCCTGCCTCAACCTCCCAAGTAGCTACAGGCGTGCACCACCACGCCCAGCTAATTTGTTGTATTTTAGTAGGGATGGAGTTTCAGCATGTTAGCCAGGATGGTCTCAATCTCCTGACCTCATGATCCACCCGCCTCGGCCTCCCAAAGTGCTAGGATTACAGGTGTGAGTCACCGCACCTGGCCCTCACTCTTTTTTTAATAGGTGAATAGCACTCCATTGTGTATAGGTACATTTTCTTTATCCATTTGTCTGTTGATGGACACAGGTTGCTTCTAAATCTTGACTACTGTAAATAGTGCTGCAATAAACATGGGAATGCAAATATCTCTTTGATATACTGATTTCCTTTCTTTTGTATGTATACCCAGTAGTAGGATTGCTAGGTCATATTTTTATGATCTAGTTCTATTTTTAGTTTTTTTAGGAACCTCCAAACTGTTCTCCATAGTGGTTGTATTAATTTAAATTCCCACCAACAGTATATGAGGGTTCCCTTTTCTTCACATCCTCACCAGCATTTGTTATTGCTTGTCTTTTAGATAAAAGGCATTTTAACTGGGATGAGATGATATCTGATTGTAGTTTTGATTTGCATTTCTCTGATGATCATTGATGTTGACCACCTTTTCATACACCTGTTTGCCATTTGCATGTCTTCTTTTGAGAAATATCTATTCAGATATTTGGCCCATTTTGAAATTAGATTATCAGATTTTTTTTTCCTGTGGAGTTGTTTCAGCTCCTTATATATTCTGGCAATTAATCTCTTGTCAGTTTGCAAATATTTTCTCCCATTTTGTGAGTTTTCTCTTCACTTTGTTGACTGTTTCCTTTGCGGTGCAGAAGTTTTTTAACTTGATGTGATCCCATTTGTCCATCTTTGCTTTAGTTACCTGTGCTTGTGGGATATTACTCAAGAAATCTCTGCCTAGACCAATATCCTGGAGAGTTTCCCCCAATGTTTTATTTAGTAGTTGCATAGCTTGAGGTCTTAGATTTAAATCTTTAATCTATTTTGATTTGATTTTGGTATATGGTAAGAGATAGGGGTCTAGCTTCTTTCTTCTGCATATGGATATCCAGTTTTTCCAGCACCACTTATTGAAGAGACTGTCCTTTCCCCAATGTATGTTCGTGGCACTTTTCTCAAAACGAGTTCACTGTGGACATATATATTTGTTTCTAGGTTCTCTATTCTGTTTCATTGGTCTATGTGTCTATTTTTATGCCAGTGTCATGCTGTTTTGGTTACTATAGCTCTGCAATGTAACTTGAAGTCAGCTAATGTGATTTCTCAAGCTTTGTTCTTTTTGCTCAAGGTAGCTTTGGCTATTCTGGGTCTTTTATGGTTCTGTATAAATGTTAGGATATTTTTTTCTGTTTCTTCAAAGAATGTCATTGGTATTTTGATAGGGATTGCATTGAATCTGTAGATTGCTTTGGGTAGTATGGACATGTTAACAATGTTGGTGCTTCCAATCCATAAACATGGAATATATTTCCATTTCTTGTGTTTTCTTCAATTTCTTTCATCAGTGATTTGTAGTTTTCATTGTAGAGATCTTAAACTTCTTTAGTTAATTTAATTCATAGGTATTTAATTTTATTTGTAGCTATTTTAAATGGGATTCATTTTTTATTTCCTTTTCAGATTGTTCGCTGTTGACATATAGAAATGCTACTGATTTTTGTGTAGTGATTTTTGTATCCTGCAACTTTACTGAATTTGTTTATCAGTTCTAATAGCTTTTTGGTGGAGTCTTTAGGTTTTTCCAAATATAAAATGATATCATCAGAATACAAGGATAAGTTGACTTCTTCCTTTCCAATGTGGATGCCCTTTCTTTCTTTCTCTTGTCTGATGGCTCTAGCTAGGAATTCCAGTATCATGTTGAATAACTGGTGAAAATGGGCATTCTTGTCATGTTCCGCATCTTAGAGGAAAGGCTTTCAGTTTTTCCCTATTCAGTATGATACTAGCTGTGGGTCTGTCATATATGGCTTTTATTATGTTGATGTATGTTCCTTCTATACGCAGATTTTTAAGAGTTTTTATCATGAAAGGATGTTGAATTTTATCAAATGCTTTTTCAGCATCAATTGAAATGATCATATATTTTTTGTCTTTTATTCTTTTGATATGATGTATCACACTGACTGATTTGCAAACATGGAACCATCCTTGCATCCCTGGGATAAATCCTACTTAGTCATGATGAATGATCTTTTTAACATGTTGTTGAATTTGGTTTGCTAGTATTTTGTTGAGGATTTTTGCATCAGTATTCATCGGGGATATTGGCTTGTAGTTTTCTTTTTTGAATATGTCTTTGGTTTCGGTATCAGGGTAATACTGGCCTCATAGAACACTTTTGGAAGTATTCTCTCCTCTTCTATTTTTTTGAATAGTTTGAGTTGGATTGGTGTTAGTTCCTTGAATGTTTGGTAAAATTCAGCAGTGAAGCCATAGGTTCCTGGGCATTTCTTTGCTGGGATACTCTAGTATGGCTTCAGTTGCATTACTTATTATCAGTCTGTTCAGGTTTTGTATTTCTTCATAGTTCAATCTCAGTGGGTTGTATGTGTCTGGGAATTTATCCATGTAGCCTAAATTTTCCAATTTATTGGCATATACTTCCTTGTAGTGGCCTCTAATGATCACTTGAATGTCTGCTGTATTGGTTGTAATGTCTCTTCTTTCATCTCTGATTTTATTTATTTGAGTCTTTTCTCTTTTTTCTTAGTCTGGCTAAAGGTTTGTCAAATTTGTTTATCTTTTCAAAAAAAACTTTTAATTAATCTTTTGTAGTGTTTTGTTTCAATGTTATTTATTTCTGCTCTGATCTTTATTATTTCTTTTCTTCTACTAACTTTGAGTTTCATTTGTCCTTGCTTTTCTAGTTCTTAAAGATGCATTATTATGTTGTTTATTTGAAGTTTTTTTACTTTCTTATATAAGAACTTATAGCTATCAACTACCCTTTTATACTGCTTTCACTGTATTACATAGGTTTTGGTATGTAGTGTTTCCATTATCACTTAGTAGATTTCCTCTACAATCTTCTCAAGTGCTAAAGGCAGACAACCTAAGAGTCAAAATTTGACGACTCTGTCACTCTCCATCATGTCTTGTCATAAAGTAAGAGAATGAAAGAATCATTTCATAGGAAGTTGTGAACTGAAAGAGGAACTTCAGAATCCAAAATTTTAGAGGTAGAAAAGTTTCAGGCAGTGGTATGTTTTTAAAAGTGACAAGAATCATAGAAGGCTTAAGTAGATGGGGAAGTGAGGGTCACTGGATTGAAACAGGACAACTATGAGATTGACATGTTGGAAGTTTCTCCATCTTGCTAGAAAAAAAATACTCTTAACTCTCTTCATATATTTTAATCAAAGAACAGACATCAGTTTTTCTTAATTAACATTTTTTTGGTGCAAAATGTTTCACCAGGAATTAGTGGGCATGTATTTCTAAATGATTTCCAGCAACATACAAACAAACCATAAGATGGAATAGTGACACCCTTTACTGTTTAGCATTAAATTGCACACCTCCTTTTCCCAGTTAGGAGAAAGTGATTTCTTTCTCCTAACCCTGCCCTTTGAAAGTAGAACTAATTTAAAGTTCTGGTCTCTTAGCAACCATAGTTGATTCACACACTAAGTGCGAATAGTAGATGTGCCTTTCTGAAAAGATTTGAAGTTACTATCTAAGCTTCCCAGGGCATGCTTTTAAAAGGTACTTAAACAGCATATAGCAAGGTATTTTAACAGAGATAAGAGTACTTTCATCTCAGCCATCATACTTTATTCATAGTCTTTATGACAATTAAATCTATTCCAAGTTTCTTGGCTGCCCACTCTTACCTAGCTGCAGTGGTAAAACACACATTTGCTTGCTTTAATTCAGGGATTTGCATTTTAACTTAGTCTTCTTTGCCACTCACAATAAAATTTTAGCAAATTGTGATTCATTATAATACTGTATTCTTCTAGCCAGTATACTGGTTGATGTAGAAGTACATTTTGACTAAAGACCTACTGCCTTGTTCAGGGGTCAACTTCTAAACTTCTTAACTCAAGAGTCGCAAACTTTGCTAAAAAACATCTCTTGTCATATCCAAAGTTATAAATTATAGTAGTAGAGGAAGCTGTCAAAAATGGCACAGTAAGCTGTTTGCAGAAAATTTAGTTTTAGACAAGTGTTTTTGTTGTTATTGTTTTTCTTCCTTTTTCCAGGCCAGAAATACAAATTCACATAATTGCTTTCAACACACATCAGTGAGAGGAAGGTCAAAAGTTCTCAAGTTTGATTTTTGTGTTTACCCCGTAGGCTCCAACACTTAGTCAGGGGCTTTCAAAATGATTGAATTTGATTTCTTTTATTTTTCTCCAAATAGCAAATGCTTGGTCAGTAGTTTAAGGAAATTAATAGAAACATCTTACAGATGATGTGGAAAAAAAGTACAAAGAATTGGAGAAAAAAGTCAAGTAATTTTCAAGCAAGCTTGAGGATAGAGCTCAAAACTGAAAAGAAAATTCATTAGTGAATAAAGTCCCTCCCAGATGTTAAAGGCTTCTGGGACCATTTGTAGTCTTTTGACCCTATTCAGTCACCTACTTTTTTGTTCCTTTCATCTTTAACTAGAGCATTTTCCAATCATACTCCTTGTTGATAACTCTAACTAAACAAAAGAAGTAAAACTCCCTTAGTCTACCTTTGTTCTATTTTGGCTCAGCTGGTTTGAAATAAGCTATCTCTAACAGAGGCCCAGGTACACTAGGCGTCTGCTATGCTTTTGATGTTTGGACCCTTCAAATCTCAGGTTGAAATTTGATCCCTAATGTTGAAGTTGGGGCCTAATGGGAGGTTTTGGATCATGGGGGTAGATTCCTCATAAACAGATTAATGTCCTCCCTCAGGCTTGAGTGAGTTGTCACTCTATTCGCTTCCACAAGAGCTGGTTGTTAAAAAGAGCCTGGCACCTTCCTGCTCTCTCTCTCGCTTCCTTTCTTGCCATGTGCTCTCTGCACATAACAGCTCTCCTTCACCTTCCACCATGAGTGCAAACATCTTGAGGCCCTTGCCAGAGGCAGATGCCCAATCTTGAACTTTCCAACCAGGAGAACCGTGAGCTAAGTGAACCTCTTTTCTTTATAAATTACCTAGTCTCAGGTATTTCTTTATAGCAACACAAAATGAACTAAGACAGCACCCATTAAATATTTATGGCATGAATAAACTCATCTTTCTGAAATATCAGTGAGGTAAGTTTCTATAATGTATCATCTTGTGATAGAACATACAAAATGGTCATAAAACATAAACATGTAGTTTAACAAACTATTAAAAAACACCAATGTGTCTTCCTCCATGCCAAAACAATAGAATGGCATCTTCCCCATAGAAGCCCTCCACCTGTCTCTTTCTGACCATAATACTAGCCTACCCCCTACGATGACCACTATGTTGGCTTTCATGCTGCTAATAATTGTTTAATGTGGCCTATTTTAAAAATATGTGTCAGTGGGATCATATAGTATTAGCCTAGCTTCTTTAGCTCAGTCTTTTGTGTTTAAGAGCTATCCATCTATGTAGTTTATTCATTGCTTCCTGTATAGTATACCATGATATAAACCTACCCCTATTTTTTTTTATCATTTCTACTATTGAGTTGTTCCTGTGTGGAGCTTCTATTAACTATGTTATTATGAATATTCTAATGCATGTTCCCTGGTGCATGTAAGCATGCATTTATGTGAGATACAAACACCTATAAATGGAATTGCTAGGTCATAGACTATACACATGTTCAGATGTACTATCAGACATTATTCAAAAGTGATTTTACAATGCATATTCCCATCAACAGTACATGAGAGTTCTCATTGCTTCACATCCTTGTTAATAATTGGCAATGCCACTTTTCTGCCCACTCCCCTCCCTTATTCCCTCTCTTGAATGCCACTGTGGCTGCAGTACACTTGCTCTGAGCTCCAGGCTCCTGCTAAGCTAGCACAGTCTCCCTTCAGCCACCATTATGATTATCTACTGGGACCTCATCAGACACAATGAGATGTTCTCTGACATTTACAAAATATGAAAGATCATGGACCAGCTGTGCTTGGAGGTAGAGGGAAAAATAGTTGATAAGACAGAGGGTAACATTGATGACTCACTGGTGGAAATGCTTCCACTGAAGGCCTCAAGGGTGAAGGTACCAAAAGCACAGTCATCACTGGTGTTGATATTGTCATGAACCATCACTTGTAGGAAACCAGCTTCACAAAAGAAGCCTGCAAGAAGTACATCAAACATTACATGAAATCAATTAAAGGCAGACTTGAAGAACAGAAACCAGAAAGAGTAAAAGCTTTTATGACAGGGCCTGCAGAACAAACCAAGCACATCTTTGCTAATTTCAAAAACTACCAATTCTTCATTGGTGAAAACATGAATACTAATGGTATGGTAGCTCTATTGGACTACCATGAGAATAGTATGATCTATATATGGTCTTCTTTAAGGATGGTTTAGAAATGGAAAAGTATTAACAAATTTGGCAGTTACTTTGGATCAATTGCCTGTCATCATAACTGGCTGCTGCTTGTCATCCACACAACACTAGGACTGATATCATCTTGAGCATCTCATTTATTGTGACTGTGATTTACTTGGAGTAGAGGCATTGTTTTTAAGAAAAAAAAATGTCAGTTGTCTAAAAATAAAATGCATTTAAACTCATTTGACAGAATGCCTCCTAGTTTAATACATACTTAAACTAAATCTATTCTGTAATGTTCCTGGAGAAGCTAGAGCCTGGTTGTAAGCCACTACTAGAAAATATAAGACTGTCATCAGGTAACTTGTACAGTGGAAACTACTTTTGGGACTAGAATCTAAAAAAAACAAAAAGTTTTAATTCTGAACTGCAGTAAAGGAAAAGACCATGCTAATATCAATGCCAACATTTTAAGTGGAGCCTTATACATTTCCTCACCTACAACAGAGTAGTTAACTCTGGAAGAGATTACCAAGACAATAAAAAGAAACTAACTCAGTCTGAAAGAAATACTTGGCAATGCTATATATTTAAAAAATGTTCACCATACTCATACATGTGTATTATCAGATGTTTTATTTTTGCCACTCCAATGGGTATGTAGTGCCAGTACATTGTGGTTTTAATTTGCATTTACCTAATTACCAATGAAGTTGAGCATTTTTCCATATGCTACTATTTCCTCTATTGGGATGTGCCTGTTCAGGTGGTTTTCCCATTTTTCCTTTGCATTGTCTGTCTTTTTGTTATTAATTTGAAAAAGGTTTTTATATATTCAATAGGAAGGTTGATTTTAATTATCCAGTTCACCCTCATGAGAAACTGGAAGCACTTATGTGTACATTTTATCTGTGTGCACTTTATGGTCTCAATTTCCTTGGTGGCTCATAGTGACCGGCTACCTGGAAAACTGAAAAAAGATTAAAGTAATTCACTAAAATCTATTCAATTTTAATATATCTGTTATTTTAATTTCTATGCAGCTCTATTGTCAGCATTTTCCCTTCTTTTTTCATTTCATGTAATAAGTTTACTTAGCAACCATTTTATGACTTGTAAATTTCTATCAATTAGTCCATCTTATTTTTCACAAGTACAAAGGCAAGTTAAATTATACTTTTCTACAGAACCAAGTTTACAATATGTGTAATATTGAATTAAAACAGATAATGATTAGCATACTAGAATGATTATCACACAAACACTCTAAAGTGATTAACACATAAAAAACTCAATGATATTTCTTATTAGACTCCATTTAAAAGCAGCATTATTTATTGACCATTTGTGGTTTGAAAAAAAAACAGCATTATTATTATCTTCCTGAATCCTGATTCCTTAAATTAAGATATTCTATGTCTTGTTCAAGTTCTAGGAATCAGAACTTTGACTAACCAGAATATTTTATTTTCTCTAAAATATTGCATACCTGTACTCTCACTAAAAATCTAGAAGAGATAAATCTTTAAATAGTCTTTTATGTAAGGCTTATAAAATCCATTTCAATATACTTTCAATGATCCTTTATCTTTGCAAACATTCTTTCTATTTTTCCTCTTTGGGGGCTTTATCAAAAGAAGAAGCATTCATTAATCTGAGAATAATATTAGTCCTCTAGAGGGTTTGGTTTCATATGGAACCCTGTCTTCTGTGGCTATATAGAAAATTGCAAAAGGATAGTCACATAAATGAAAACACAACTCAAATATCAATAAGTTTTAAATTTCTGATCATTTTGCAACTCATCAGGCTAAAAACTTGCAAGACTGAAAAAATTAGTAGTTAGCTATAGAAAGCAATTTCTGGCAACTATCTCTAAAGATAAATAATTCTAATACAGAAGAGTATTTCTTCTGATCCTTTTGGAGGGTTTCTGCTTGCTTTAGAACACACTTGGAACAGAATGGCACCAAAGGCTTCAAATATTCATATCGCAATGGCATCGTTTGAAATTATCCTGGAGGAAGTTTACGAAATACAGAACCTCCTTCTTTACTAGTTAGGTCCTAAGTTGCCCTCATGGGTATTTTACAAAATGTAAATTCTCAATGCTTTGATAGGCGCCATCAGTTTTATAGCAGTATAGGATTCTTTTATCACAATTTGTCTTTAAAATCAAAGGTTCATCATCCTCAATATGAAGACCTGCAAAGCTAACATCTGAAGGGCTTTAGTAACTTTTTCCAGCACTACTTTAGCTCTAAAGCATCATAATATTTATTTCTCATTCTTTTCAGAGAACAAATTTTATAATGCATTTAAATATGTCCTCATACAATTTCAGCATGACAGAAAATGTATAGAGACTATTTGAAAAATGTAGAATTTGACGGGATTCATTCATCAACCATATGAAACTGGATGCTAGGCAGTATAATCTATATTTCCTCTTGGAGCTGGAATATATATACTACTACTGTATGGGGCCAAATTCTAATAGGACATAGGCAATCTATTAAAAAATGACTTAACTAAGAGTGAGAAAAAGATCTATGGTGAATTTACATTACTATTCTAAGTTTAAATATGGTAAGTTTTTTCTATCTTGAAAATAAAATGTAGTGACCCAAATACATTCTTCCTATAGCATTTATAAAATACCAAGTGAACAAGGTAATAGAATATTATTAATTTAAGCAGAAGAATTTTTAAATAACAAAGCAAAATTAAATATTTCATGTTAAATTAACTCATCTACAACACTGACCATTAAAGGCAAATATCAAGGTCTCCTTTATTAAAGAGCAGAGAAAAGCCTACCTGGAAGTGTCCACATCTTTTTTAAAAAGGGTAAAACTTTCCATAAGATACAAGTAGAGGTTCCAAGATGGCCGAATAGGAACAGCTCCAGTCTACAGCTCCCAATATGAGCAACACAGAAGACAGGTGATTTCTGCATTTCCAACTGAGGTACCGGGTTCATCTCACTGGGGCTTGTCGAACAGTGGGTGCAGCCCACAGAGCGTGAGCTGAACCAGGGCGGGGCATCGCCTCATCCGGGAAGTGCAAGGGGTCGGGGAATTCCTAGCCAAGGGAAGCTGTGACAAACGGTACCTGGAAAATCAGGACACTCCCACCCTAAGACTGCACTTTTCCAATGGTCTTAGCAAACGGCACACCAGGAGATTATATCCTGTGCATGGCTCGGAGGGTCCCATGCCCACAGAGCCTCGCTCACTGCTAGCACAGCAGTCTGAGATCGAACTGCAAGGCAGCAGCAAGGCTTGGGGAGGGGCGTCCGCCATTGCTGAGGCTTGAGTAGTTAAACAAAGCCACCAGGAAGCTCGAACTGGGTGGAGCCCACTGCAACTCAAGTAGGCCTGCCTGCCTCTGTAGACTCCACCTCAAGGGGCGAGTCATAGCTGAACAAAGGGCAGCAGAAACTTCTGCAGACTTAAACGTCCCTGTCTGACAGCTTTGAAGAGAGTAGTGGTTCCCCCAGCATGGAGTTTGAGATCTGAGAACAGACAGACTGCCTCCTCAAGTGGGTCCCTGAACCCCAAGTAGCCTGACTGGGAGGCACCTCCCAGTAGGGGCCAACTGACACCTCATAAGGCCGGGTGCCCCTCTGAAACGAAGCTTCCAGAGGAAGGATCAGGCAGCAACATTTGCCGTTCTGCAATATTTGCTGTTCTGCAGCCTCCGCTGGTGATACCCAGGCAAACAGGGTCTGGAGTGGACCTCCAACAAAATCCAACAGACCTGCAGCTGAGGGTCCTCACTGTTAGAAGGAAAACTAACAAACAGAAAGGACATCCACACCAAAACCCCATCTGTACGTCACCATCATCAAAGGCCAAAGGTAGATAAAACCACAGAGATGGGGAGAAACTAGAGCAGAAAAGCTGATAATTCTAAAATTCAGAGTGCCTCTTCTCCTCCAAAGGAATGCAGCTCCTTGCCAGCAATGGAACAAAGGTGGACGGAGAATGACTTTGACGAGTTGAGAGAAGAAGGCTTCAGACGATTGGTAATAACGAACTTCTCAGAGCTAAAGGAGGATGTTTGAACCCATCACAAAGAAGTTAAAACTTGAAAAAAGATTAGATGAATGGCTAACTAGAATAAACAGCGTAGAGAAGACCTTAAATGACCTGATGGAGCTGAAAACCATGGCATGAGAACTACATGACGCATGCACAAGCTTCAGTAGCTGATTTGATCAACTGGGAGAAAGGGTATCAGTGATTGAAGATCAAATGAATGAAACGAAGCGAGAAGAGATGTTTAGAGAAAAAAGAGTAAAAAGAAATGAACAAAGCCTCCAAGAAATATGGGAATATGTGAAAAGACCAAATCTACGTCTGATTGGTGTACCTGAAAGTGATGGGGATAATGGAACCAAGTTGGAAAACACTCTTCAGGATATTATCCAGCAATACTTCCCCAACCTAGCAAGGCAGGCCAACATTCAAATTCAGGAAATACAGAGAATGCCACAAAGATGCTCCTCAAGAAGAGCAGCTCCAAGACACATAATTGTCAGATTCACCAAAGCTGAAATGAAGGAAAAAATGTTAAGGGCAGCCAGAGGGAAAGGTCGGGTTACCCACAAAGGGAAGCCCATCAGACTAAAAGTGGATGTCTTGGCAGAAACTCTACAAGCCAGAAGAGAGTGGGGGCCAATATTCAACATTCTTAAAGAAAAGAATTTTCAACCCAGAATTTCATTTCCAGCCAAACTAAGCTTCATAAGTAAAGGAGAAATAAAATCCTTTACAGACAAGGAAATGCTGAGAGATTTTGTCACCACCAGGCCTGCCTTACAAGAGCTCCTGAAGGAAGCACTAAACATGGAAAGGAACAACCGGTACCAGCCCCAGCAAAAACATGCCAAATTGTAAAGACCATTGATGCTAGGAAGAAACTGCATCAACTAATGAGCAAAATAACCAGCTAACATCATAATGACAGGATCAAATTCACACATAACAATAATAACCTTAAATGTAAATGGGCTAAGTGCTCCAATTAAAAGACTGGCAAATTGGATAAAGAGTCAAGACCCATCAATGTGTTGTATTCAGAAGACCCATCTCACGTGCAGAGACACACATATGCTCAAAATAAAGGGATGGAGGAAGATCTACCAAGCAAATGGAAAACAAAACAAAACAAAAAAGCAGAGGTTGCAATTCTAGTCTCTGATAAAACAGACTTTGAACCAACAAAGATCAAAAGAGACAAAGAAGGCCATTACATAATGGTAAAGGATCAATTCAACAAGAAGAGCTAACTATCCTAAATATCTATGCACCCAATACAGGAGCACCCAGATTCATAAAGCAAGTCCTTAGAGACCTCCAAAGAGACTTACACTCCCACACAATAATAATGGGAGACTTTAACACCCCACTGTCAACATTAGACAGATCAACAAGACAGAAAGTTAACAAGGATACCCAGGAATTGAATTCAGCTCTGCACCAAGTGAGCCTAACAGACATCTACAGAACTCTCCACCCCAAGTCAACAGAATATACATTCTTCTCAGCACCACATCGCACTTATTCCAAAATTCACCGCATAGTTGGAAGTAAGCACTCCTCAGCAGATGTAAAAGAACAGAAATCATAACAAACTGTCTCTCAGACCACAGTGCAATTAAACTAGAACTCAGGATTAAGAAACTCACTCAAAACCGCTCAACTACATGGAAACTGAACAACCTGCTCCTGAATAACTACTGGGTACATAACGAAAATGTGGCAGAAATAAAGATGTTCTTTGAAACCAATAAGAACAAAGACACAACATATCAGAATCTCTGGGACACATTTAAAGCAGTGTGTAGAGGGAAATTTATACCACTAAATGCCCACAAGAGAAAGCAGGAAAGATCTAAAATTGACACCCTAACATCACAATTAAAAGAACTAGAGAAGCAAAAGCAAACACATTCAAAAGCTAGCAGAAGGCAAGAAATAACTAAGATCAGAGCAGAACTGAAGGAGATAGAGACACAAAAAACCCTTAAAAAATCAGTGAATGCAGGAGCTGGTTTTTTGAAAAGATCAACAATATTGATAGACTGCTAGCAAGACTAATAAAGAAGAAAAGAGAGAAGAATCAAATAGATGCAATAAAAAATGATAAAGGGGATATCACCACTGATCCCACAGAAATACCAACTACCATCAGAGAATACTGTAAAGACCTCTATGCAAATAAAGTAGAAAATCTAGAAGAAATGGATAAATTCCTCGACACATACACCCTCCCAAGACTAAACCGGGAAGCAGTTGAATCTGAATAGACCAATAACAGGCTCTGAAATTGAGGCAATAATTAATAGCCTACAACCAAAAAAAGTTCAGGACCAGATGAATTCAAAGCCGAATTCTACCAGAGGTACAAAGAGGAGCTGGTACCATTCCTTCTGAAACTATTCCAATCAATAGAAAAAGAGGGAATCCTCCCTCACTCATTTTATGAGGCCAGCATCATCTTGATACAAAAACCTGGCAGAGACACAATAAAAAAAGAGAATTTTAGACCAATATCCCTGATGAACATTGATGCAAAAATCCTCAGTAAAATACTGGCAAACTGAATCCAGCAGCACATCAAAAAGCTTATCCACCATGATCAAGTGGGCTTCATCCCTGGGATGCAAGGCTGGTTCAACATATGCAAATCAATAAACGTAATCCATCATATAAACAGAACCAAAGACAAAAACCACATGATTATCTCAATAGATGCAGAAAAGGCCTTTGATTAAATTCAACAGCCCTTCATGCTAAAAACTCTCAATAAACTAGGTATTGATGGGACATATCTCAAAATAATAAGAGCTATTTATGACAAACCCACAGCTAATATCATCCTGAATGGACAAAAACTGGAAGCATTCCCTTTGAAAACTGGCACAAGACAGGGATGCCCTCTCTCACCACTCCTATTCAACATAGTGTTGGAAGTTCTGGCCAGGGCAATCAGGCAGGAGAAAGAAATAAAGTGTATTCGATTAGGAAAAGAGGAAGTCAAATTGTCTCTGTTTGCAGATGACATGATTGTATATTTAGAAAACCCCATTGTCTCAGCCCAAAATCTCCTTAAGCTGATAAGCAACTTCAGTAAAGTCTCAGGATACAAAATCAATGTGCAAAAATCACAAGCATTCTTATACACCAATACCAGACAAACAGAGAGCCAAATCATGAGTGAACTCCCATTCACAATTGCTTCAAAGAGAATAAAATACCTAGGAATCCAACTTACAAGGGATGTGGAAGACCTCTTCAAGGAGAACTACAAACCACTGCTCAATGAAATAAAAGAGGACCCAAACAAATGGAAGAACATTCCATGCTCATGGATAGGAAGAATCAGTATCCTGAAAATGGCCATACTGCCCAAGGTAATTGATAGATTCAATGCCATCCCCATCAAGCTACCAATGACTTTCTTCACAGAATTGGAAAAAACTACTTTAAAGTTCATATGGAACCAAAAGAGAGCCCACATTGCCAAGACAATCCTAAGCCAAAAGAACAAAGCTGGAGGCATCATGCTACCTGACTTCAAACAATACTACAAGGCTACAGTAACCAAAACAGCATGGTACTGGTACCAAAACAGAGATAGAGACCAATGGAACAGAACAGAGCCCTCAGAAATAATGCTGCATATCTACAACTATCTGATCTTTGACAAACCTGAGAAAAACAAGCAATGGGGAAAGGATTCCCTATTTAATAAATGGTGCTGGGAAAACTGGCTAGCCATGTGTAGAAAGCTGAAACTGGATTCCTTCCTTACACCTTATACAAAAATTAATTCAAGATGGATTAAAGACTTAAATGTTAGACCTAAAACCATAAAAACCCTAGAAGAAAACCTAGGCAATACCATTCAGGACATAGGCATGGGCAAGGACTTCATGTCTAAAACACCAAAAGCAATGGCAACAAAAGCCAAAATTGACAAATGGGATCTAATTAAACTACAGAGCTTTTGTACAGCAAAAGAAACTACCATCAGAGTGAAGAGGCAACCTGCAGAATGGGAGAAAATTTTTGCAATCTACCCATCTGACAAAGGGCTAATATCCAGAATCTACAGAGAACTTAAACAAATGTACAGGAAAAAATCAAACAACCCCATCAAAAAGTGGGCAAAGGATATGAACAGACACTTCTCAAAGGAACACATTTATGCAGCCCACAGACACATGAAAAAATGCTCATCATCTCTGGCCATCAGAGAAATGCAAATCAAAACCACAATGAGATACCATCTCACACCAGTTAGGATGGTGATCATTAAAAAGTCAGGAAACAACAGGTGCTGGAGAGGATGTGGAGAAATAGGAATACTTTTACACTGTTGGTGGGACTGCAAACTAGTTCAACCATTGTGGAAGACAGTGTGGTGATTCCTCAAGGATCTAGAACTAGAAATACCATTTGACCCAGCCATCCCATTACTGGGTATATACCCAAAGGATTATAAATCATGCTGCTATAAAGACACATGCACACATATGTTTACTGTGGCACTATTCACAATAGCAAAGACTTGGAACCAACCCAAATGTCCATCAATGATAGACTTGATTAAGAAAACGTGGCACATATACACCATGGAATACTTTGCAGCCATAAAAAAGGATGAGTTCATGTCCTTTGTAGAGACATGGATGAAGCTGGAAACCATCATTCTGAGCAAACTATCACAAGGACAGAAAACCAAACACTGCATGTGATCCCACTCATAGGTGGGAACTGAACAATGAGAACACTTGGACACAGGGTGGGGAACATCACACACCAGGGCCTGTCGTGGGGGAGAGAGGAGGGATAGCATTAGGAGATATACCTAATGTAAATGACAAGTTAATGAGTGCAGCACACCAACATGGCAAATGTATACATATGTAACAAACCTGCATGTTTTGCACATGTACCCTAGAACTTAAAGTATAATAAAAAAAAATTTTTAAAAAGATACAAGTATAAAGATTAAGAACTGTCAAAAGGTAAACTTGGGCACAGTAAAAATTTTAAAGGGTTTACTTGAACAAACAGCAATTCATGATTTGGACAGCTTCAAATTGGAAGTGGTTCAAAAGTTCTGCAGAGGGAATGCAAGGGGAGGCCTTCATAAGATGAATAAGAAAGTAAAGCAAGGAGAATATGTGATTGGGTACAGTTATGGAGTTGCCTTATTTGTGTATCCTGCAGGAAAGTCCCTAGTTATATAAGTTAATTTATGGCTTCTGATTGGTTAGCCTTAAGTTTCATTTTTTTCTCTAATATAGGCATTTATAAGAAATAGTCCAAGTTAATGTTTGCTTATGTTTGCAAATCAAGCAAGGTTAAGGTCATTTATGAGGTCTAACTGGCTTTGTCTTCCCAAGGATTCTTCAGGCCCAGTCTCTATTTACTTTAACAGGGCACATGCACTAAAACTCAAATTATTTGGTTAAAATTTCAGTTTCTCTTTTTGATGAGACAGGTCTTCAGGCAAATTATTGTCTTCTGGTATTTATTTTAAACATTTTTTGAAATACAGTAGATATACATAAAAGAATATTAAAACATTTTATACTGATTTCTCAAAATAAACATGTTAAAATGTTTAATTAAAAAAAAAAACCATGGATCCTATTCAACATAGTATTGGAAGTTCTGGCCAGGGCAATCAGGCAAGAGAAAGAAATAAAGGGTATTTAAATAGGAAGAGAGGAAGTCAAATTTTCTCTGTTTGCAGATGACATGATTGTATATTTAGAAAACCCCATCATCTCAGCCCAAAATCTCCTTAAGCTGATAAGCAACTTCAGCAAAGTCTCAGGATACAAAATCAATGTGCAAAAATCACAAGCATTCCTATAAACCAATAACAGACAAACAGAGAGCCAAATCATGAGCTAACTCCCATTGACAATTGCTACAAAGAGAATAAAATACCTAGGAATCCAACTTACAAGGTATGTGAAGGACCTCTTCAAGGAGAACCACAAACCACTGCTCAAGGAAATAAGAGAAGACACAAACAAATGGAAAAACATTCCATTCTCATGGATAGGAAGAATCCATATTGTGAAAATGGCCATATTGCCCAAAGTAATTCATAGATTCAATGCTATGCCCATCAAGCTACCATTGACTTTCTTCGTAGAATTTGAAAAAAAACTGCTTTAAACTTAAACAGCCCGTATAGCCAAGACAATCCTAAGCCAAAAGAACAAAGCTGGAGGCATCATGCTACCTGACTTCAAACTATAGTACAAGTTTACAGTAACCAAAACAGCATGGTACTGGTACCAAAACAGAGATAGAGACCAATGGAACAGAACAGAGCCCTCAGAAATAATACCACACATCTACAACCATCTGGTCTTTGACAAACATGACAAAACCAAGAAATGGGGAAAGGATTCCCTATTTAATAAATGGTGCTGGGAAAACTGGCTAGCCATATGCAGAAAACTGAAACTGAACCCCTTCCTTACACCTTATACAAAAATTAACTCAAGATGGATTAAGGACTCAAACGTAAGATCTAAAACCATAAAAACCCTAGAAGAAAACCTAGGCAATACCATTCAGGACATAGGCATAGGCAAAGACTTCATGACTAAAACACGAAAAGCAATGCCAAGAAAAGCCAAAATTGACAAATGGGATATAAATAAACTAAAGAGCTTCTGCACAGCAAAAGAAACTATCATCAGAGTGAACAGGCAGCCTACAGGATGGGAGAAAATTTTTGCAATCTATCCATCTGACAAAGGGCTAATATCTAGAATCTACAAAGAACTTAAGCAAATTTACAAGAAAAAAAAACCCATCAAAAAGTGGGTGAAAGATATGAACAGACACTTCTCAAAAGAAGACATTTATGGCTGGGCGTGGTGGCTCACACCTGTAATCCCAGCACTTTTGGAGGCTGAGACAGGTGGATCACAGGGTCAGGAGTTCGAGTCCAGCCTGGCCAACATAGTGAAACCCTGTCCCTACTAGAAATACAAAAAAAAAAAATCCGGGCATGGTGGCAGGCACCTGTAATCCCAGCTACTTGGGAGGCTGAGGCAAGGAGAATCACTTGAACCTGGGAGGTGGAGTTTGCAGTGAGCCAAGATCATGCCACTGAGCTCCAGCCTGGGCGACAGTGCGAGACTCTGTCTCAAAAAAAAAAAAAAAAAAAAAAGACATTTATGCAGCCAACAAAAATATGAAAAAAAAATCTCATCATCACTGGTCATTAGAGAAATGCAAATCAAAACCACAATGAGTTACCATCTCATGCCAGTTAGAATGGCGATCACTAAAAAGTCAGGAAACAACAGATGCTAGAGAGGATGTGGAGAAATAGGAATGCTTTTACACTGTTGGTGGGAGTGTAAATTAGTTCAACCATTGTGGAAGACAGTGTGGCGATTCCTCAAGGATCTAGAACCAGAAATACCATTTGATCCAGCAATCCCATTACTGGTATATACCCAAAGGATTATAAATCATTCTACTATAAAGACATATGAACATGTATGTTTATTGCAGCACTGTTCACAATAGCAAAGACTTGGAACCAACCCATATGTCCACCAATGATAGACTGGATAAAGAAAATGCGGTACATATACACCATGGAATACTGTGCAGCCACAAAAAGGATGAGTTCATGTCCTTTTCAGGGAAATGGATGAAGCTGGAAACCGTCATTCTCAGCAAAGTAACACAGGAACAGAAAACCAAACACTGCATGTTCTCACTCATAAGTAGGAGTTGAACAACGAGAACACATGGACACAGGGAGGGGAACAGCACACACTGGAACCTGTCGGGGTGGGGGGCGAGGGGAGGGATAGCATTAGGAGAAATACCTAATGTAGATGATGGGTTGATGGGTGCAGCAAACCACCATGGCACGTGTATACCTATGTAACAAACCTGCATGTTCTGCACGTGTATCCCAGAACTTAACGTATAATTTTAAAAAAACTTTAAAAAAGCAAATAATCATTGTAATAAAGTTATTCTCCTGCATACAAATATAAAAATAAAACCATGGAGATATATAAGTTGATATAAAATATGCTATAAAATATGCTTGTGGAGAGCTATACTTAAAATAACTGGATGCATAAGAATTTGAGTTTGGCACTTGTAGCCTCTCAGCACTCTGTGAAGAAGTAAGCAACATAGGGGCCATTATACAGAGGTCATATTTGGGGCCATTATACAAAGGTCATATTATACAGAGGTCAACATAGGGGCCATTATACAGAGGTCATATTATACAGAGGTCATATTTGGCTCATTTGTATAATAGTGCATCAAAATAATACTGTGCCCTTTTTCTTCTTCACTCATAACCTCACTTTTCCAAAGTGATTACTTTCAGGCCAGGTGCAGTGGCTCATGTCTGTGAGCAGTGGCTCACCAGCACTTTGGGAGCCCAAGGTGGGAGGATTGCTGGAGGTCAGGAGTTCAAGACCAGCCTGGGCAACATAGCAAGACACCCATCTCTACAAAAAAAAAATTGTTTTTAAACATGAAAACTTTTGATGGCTAAGAGGAAGGACTTTTGATTCAATAAGCCTAAGTTCAGTTACAGTATTTTCTATTCCAGCATTTTCTAGCTGTGAGATTCTGGGCAGGGTATGTAAACAGCTATTGATTTCCTTATTGGGAAAGTGCAAATAATAGTAGTGACCTTACAGATTTGATATAAGAAATAAGTAAAAGAATGCATGCAAAATATTGGTCCAGTGTCAAAAATATAGTAAGCACTCAATTAAACCTAACCGTTAGTATTATTTCTGCAAATAAGTTCAGTCATATGAAGTTGCCATTTTTGCTTGTCAATAATGGTCAAATATCAGCACTTTCTTCTAGTTCAACCTAATGCACACCATGAAAATCTTTCTAATCTTGAGACCTGGTGGTTTACTTTCCAAAGCTTTGATTTAATGAGCTGGAAGCCTGCACCTGCTTTCCTAACCCTTAGCAACATTTAGAATTCTCTGAACCTAAAAGCATTTGTCATCTTGTACTATTTCTTTCATTATTGGGAGCAAGGCTCTTCTGTGTCAAATTCCCCCTGTGAGAATCTGGGTTTTTGCTGTTCTTACCAAGAGATGGGCAAACTACAGCTATTGGCCACATTGGTTGCCACCCACTTTTGTAAATAAAGCAATGTTGGAACAACAGCTATGCTTGTGGGAAAACACTGTTTCTCTACACTCACACAACCCTTCTGACCCCAAATATGTGGATTTTTTCCCACACCAAATAATTCTGCAATTCTCTGGACACCAGCTAGATGTCCTACAATTCAACTCAATTCTGACACTACCTGGAGTTAGTGTCAAATCCCACAAGTTAAGGGCTCAGTCCCATAAGACTATGCCCACCTCAAATGCCAGTCACAAGTCCAGCCATCCACACTTCTGGACGACCAGCTATAAATTGAGGATTCCCACGGCCCACTCCTCAGGTTTGATAATTTGCAAGGGTGGCTCAAAGAACTCAAAAAAAAGCACTTCACTTAATGTTTACCAGTTTAGTATAAAGGATACAAATCAGGAAGAGCCAGATGGAAGAGATGCACAGGGCAAGTTATGGGGTAAGGGGGCACATGGAGCTTCTGTGCCCTCTCTGGGTACACCAACCTCCCAGTACCCTGATGTGTTCACCAATCCTGACATTCATCAAATCTCTTTTTTCAAGAGTTTTTATAGAGCTTAATCTCCAGCTCCCTCCTCACCTTCCCAGAAGTCTGTGGCTGGGGTAAAATTTCCAATCAGTTGGTTTTTCTGGTGACCAACCAGCCCCATCTTGAGGATATCTAGGGACCCCACCCTAAGTCACCTCATTAGAGTAAACTCAGGTCTGATTAAAAGGGGCTCTTTATGACTCACAAAAGACACTCCTATTACTCAGGAAATTCCAAGGATTTTATGAGCTCTGTGGCAGGAACTGGAGACAGAGACCAAATCTATTTCTTATTATACCACAGTGCTTGTTTATTCATGTATTGGCTATGGCTGTTTCTGCCCTACAGCAGCAGAGCTGAGTAGTTGCAACAAAGAGAGCATGGTTCACAAAGCTGAAAATGGTTATTTTCTGGCCCTTTACAAAGTTTGCCTACCCCTGGTTTAGACTACAGGTTTGCAAATTAGAGTACACACTTCTCAAGATCATAGTTCAGGGGGAAAATTCAAACTTCTATTTAAGATTATTGTTCTCTAAAAAAAAAAGGGAAGGGAAACAGGATTTTCTAGTACGTCACATAAGGGCTTACACTGGCCCCCTCATTCCTTCCATCTGTCCTGTCCATGAGACATCTGGAGAGAGTACTGGAATCCCACAATGAGGAGGAATGGTCAGTGGTGCCTCTAGTTTCATTTTTTTGCTATCAGTGTATGGTGACAGATGGCCTCTGCAAATGTCTGTCTACAGATTGTATTATCTAGTGGTAACTGACTTAAATCTCTGAAATGTATAAGTGGCTTTGAAAGATACCAGTAAACAATAATATTAATAAGATAATACTAATAATGCAAGCATCAGAGAGAAAATAAGATTTACATCAGTCACATGAGTAATGAAAATCAATCAAAGCTGATGAAAAATCAGCTAAGAAAAATTTAAAATCATCAAGATTACCTGAAATAAGGGTTTTCATACAGTATGATTAAGAATGGAACTTGTTAAGCATCTATCATGTTTAAGATATTAGTGAATTAAAATATGAAGCATCCTAATTAGCAAGACATTTAGTATCTATTTTTCTTCACCTTTTTCATATTAATTTGCAAATTTGCTTTTATTTGTAATGTACATACTATATTAAACTATACTATAAGCATATAATTTAAAAATAAATACATAACCGAACATATAACAGTAGGTGGGTACTCAAATTTCCCTTTATTTTCTACTTAGATCAGTGCACAATGAGTCGAAATTGGGCACCGTTAGTCTAGGCTTCCATATAGTGGCGCTTCTTTTGTATTCCACAGGGAAGGGATAGAAGCAGAAAAGTTTCTGTGGGATGGAGTTCCTGATGGCATTATTGAGAGTTGTTTTGGCAAAAGTGGTGCTGGGAAATGAGTAAATGATGAAAGAAGTTCAGACACAAAGTTTAGTTTAAAGGAAACGGAAAAGGGGGCAGTTTCTAGGAGTGAACGTGAGATAGAAATGGAATTAAAGGAATTTTTTATTTTTTTCCATACGAAAGAGACTTGATCATGATTAAAAGCTAATAGAGCTGGGCGCGGTGGCTCATGCCTGTAATCTCAACACTTTGGGAAGCTGAGGCAGGCAGATCACTGGAGGGGAGGAGTCGGAGACCAGCCTGGGCAACATGGCGAAACATCCCCCCCGCCCCCGACCGGCCGTCTCTACTAAAAATACAAAAATTAGCTGGGGGAGTGGCGCATGCCTGTAGTCCCCATTACTTGGGAGGCTGATGCAGGAGGATTTCTTGAGCCTGGGAGGCAGAGGTTGTATTGAGTTGAAAGCCCGCCACTGCACTCCAGCCTGGGTGACAGGAATGAAACCTTGTCTCACAAAAAAAAAAAAAAAAAAAAACGGTAATAGAGCCATTGCTTAAAAATTAGCTGTGTTTTGGCTGGGCGTGGTGACTTACGCCTGTAATCCCAGCACTTTGGGAGGCTGAGGTGGGCAGATCACCTGAGGTCGGGAGTTCAAGACCAGCCTGGCCATCATGGAGAAACCCTATCTCTACTAAAAAAATACAAAATTAGCCAGGCATGGTGGTGCATGGCTGTAATCCCAGCTACTAGGGAGGCTGAGGCAGGAGAATCGCTTGAAGCTGGGAGACGGAGGTTGCAGAGAGCCGAGATCATACCATTGCACTCCAGCCTGGGCAAAAAGAGTGAAACTCCGTCTCAAAAAAAAAAAAAAAAAATTAGCTGTGTTCTAATATTAACACCATCTTATTCACATATTATAACACTGGACCTCTTAAATTGTTAGACAAACTTCCTGTGGTCCCTGTGTGTGGAGGAAGAAAATGGGTTGAAATTGTTAAATAATAGCACATGCTGTCTAGTATATGTATATATATGTATATATATATGTGTGTGTGTGTGTGTGTATATGTATATATATGTATATATATGTGTGTGTGTGTATATATATATATTTCACTATTCACATCTATTTAGTATTCAGCAAATATTTATTGAACATGTACTATGTGCCATACCCTGAGAGATGCTTGGGATACAGAGGTAAACAAGATCAACAAGGCCCCACCATATATTCTTGTGGAGAAAACAGACTGTAATCAGGTTAAAATAAATAATGTGATTTTAGATAGGGTTAAGGTCTCTGAAGACAATAAAGCAGGGTAAAAGTGTAGAGAGATTAAGATATCAGGGGTGGGAGCATTTGAGAAGGGGTAATCTAGGAAGGCCTTTCTGTGAATCAATGGTGGTCAGAGGACTGAATTATAAGGAAGGGGGCATCCCCTGGGAGGAGAGAATTTCAGGGAGAAGGACCATAAAATACAAGTATGATACAGGAACAATCTTAGCGAGGAAGCCAAGATTGTCCCCAAAAAAACTGAATGAAGAAATCAGGGAAAGGCCTGATATTGGGGAAGTGGATGGTGGCCTGGTATGTGATGTACCATGAAGGGCCTGCCAAGGGATTTATTAAGTGTACTATAGGAAGTCATTGGATGGTTTTATGCAGAAGAATGGCATAATTCTACCTGTACTTTGTTATAAACCTTGCTCAACTTTTGCCAGTAATATCTTTCCCACTCCAACTTTAATGAAGAACCAGTTTTGTTCTAAGGGTCCAGCTGTCTATCATAACAGATTTTCCATGGGATGGAGTCTTGCTTTTCTTGTTCTTGGTGGCCAATGAGTGCAGCTTTGGAGAGAGTTATTAGGGTGTGTGATTCTATCATGATGTCTGCCTCTTGCCAACATCCGTTGAAAGCAGTCAGTTGAAGGGTGACATGAGCCACAGAAACTTAGTGGCACTTTGCACCTGATTAAGTCAGGAGAAATGCTCCTGGCAGTACCAAAATGTCCATCACCTGCTCACTTGCTGATGCATGAGGGAGAGAGGGGAACCTCCAAGAAAGGAGTTAAACATAAAATTCAATTCAACTTGATATTGTATCTGAGGACCCATGAGGTCAAATCAACCACAAAAGAGATTCCTGATAATCCCAGGCCAGATACTTGGTGTTTGTTAAGAAGCTGGCATAGGCCAGCCATGGGGGCTCATGAGTGTAATCCCAGAGCTTTGGAAGGTTGAGGTGGGAGGATCACTTGAGGCCATGAGTTTGAGACCAGTGGGCAACATAGCCAGACCCTGTCTCTACAAAAAATAAGAAAATTAGCCAGGCATGATAGCACATGCCTGTCATCCCAGCTACTGGGGAGGCTGTGGTGGGAGAATCACTTGAACCCAGAAGGTCAGGACTGCAATGGGGTGTGATCACAACTCTGTACTCCAGCCTGAGTGACAGAGCAAGACTCTGTCTCTAAAAGAAAAAAAAAATTGAAAAAGAAAAAAATAAATTAAAATTTTAAAACCCATAAATATATATACCTACTATGTACCCATAACAAGTAAAAATTTTGAGGTTGAACCTTTAAAAAAAATAATAATAATTTTAAAATAAAAATTTAAGGCCAGGCATGGTGGCTCACACCTGTAATCCCAGCACTTTGGGAGGCCAAGATCACCTGAGGTCAGGAGTTCGAGACCAGCCTGACCAATATGGAGAAACCCCATCTCTACTAAAAATACAAAATTAGCTGGGCGCGGTGGTGCATGCCTGTAATCCCAGCTACTCTGGAGGCTGAGGCAGGAGAATCGCTTGAACCCAGGAGGCGGAGGTTGCAGTGAGCCGAGATCACACCACTGCACTCCAGCCTGGGCAACAAGAGCGAAACTCCGTCTCAAAAAAAAAAAAAAAAAAAAAATTAAAAAGAAATGACATCTCACAGAAAGGCATGTAAACCAGTGGAATAGACATTGGAGTGTGAGCTACTGGCTCGGAATGTGTCAAAACATTTGTAATAACCCTTTCCTACCTAACCTGGTTTTGTTTTATTTTTATTCATTTTGCATAAAAGTTTGCCTCTCACTTTGGCTTTAATCTGTTGATGAGAAGAGATGCCTCAAAGCTGGCTTCTGGCACTGTTGTGGGGCTTTTACAAGGGAAATCTTTGAGTCATTGTAGTAAAATATCTACAGAAAAATTACTGGACCCAGAAATTATGGAATGGCCTGCAAAATCTCAACAGAATGCAGAGGGTGCATGTGACCTGTCTAAATTCAGCCTAAGAATGCAGATGATGCTTCTAACCTCAATGTTTCTGATTTTCTACACCATGCAAAAGGTAGTTCTTCTGGAACTAGCCTCAGGCATAGATATGTGTTTAATGATGGAATTATTCAGTTTAGTAACTGCTATGGTCTGAGTGTGTCCCCTGAAAATCCATATATTGAAACATAATCATTAATGTGATCATTTTAAGAGGTAGGGTTCTTAGGAGGTGATTAAATCGTAAGTGCAGATCCCTCATGAATGATCTGTAGTGTGAGGTGTGAGGGAGCTGTTTGCCTCTTCTACCATGTTAGAACACAGGAAGAGGGTACCATCTAGAAGAAACAGTCCCACACCAGACACCTAATCTGACTACACCTTGATCTTGGACTTCCCATTCTCCAGAATTGTGAGCAACAAATTTCTGTTGTTTGCAAATTACCCAGTCCAAAGTATTTTGTTGTAGCAGCAGTAGAGACTAACACAGTGACTGACATGGAATGTAGTGGGCAAGGGAAATGCTGGAGGGGCAAGCTTATATAGACTTCTCAAGACCTCTTTCTCTGTGTGTTGTGAAAGATGATGGCTGACAGTTAACAAATACTATTTTTTTGAGATATTATAGGGTTCAACTATAATATTTCTTAAGGTTTACAAGCCTGCTCAGTTTATTCTCAAAAACTGTTTCTCTTCTTTCCTGGAAGAATAAAAGCACACTCCTTCAGTTTTAATAATCCTGATAACAGTCCTGGAAAAATGAGTTTTAAAAATATACTGCCAGGCTGGCAATGGGAAGTGGGAATCTCAGGAAATGAGGAGGGCTCAATCTGGCTTTCACAGTGAGGATATCTGATGATCCTCAAGTTCTATTTTAGAGGTTGCATGGGATCAGGGGAACAGAGAATAAAGCCTAGGGAAAACTAAGGTGAAGAGCTTAATAGGAGATACGGAAGATCTTCAGGATCATCCATAAAACTAGGATCCTGAAGAGCTTCACCTGCAGGGTTAGGATGAACAAGAAATAAACCTACAATGCAAAGAAGACAGTTAGAAAACTTACCTGCCTCCACCTTTTTTCCTGGATAGAAAAAAGAGAAGGGAACTAGGCATACTGATAACATGCCTAGAAATCACTACATTACTGTTACATATGGCAACTTGGCTAAAATCTCAAAAATATAACACTGATGAAAAAATAGCAAGTCACAAAAGAACACATGTAGTATTATTCCATTCATGTAGAGTTATACCACACCAATCACATTGCATTAAGAGCCCACCCTGCTCCAGTATGACCTCATCTTTACTGATTATGTCTACAATGACTCTATTTCCATATAGGGTACATTTTGAAGTGTTGGGAGTTAGGAATTCAGCATATCTTTTGGAGAGACACAATTTAACCCATAACAGCACAGCACAGTCCCCCACAACAAAGAATTATCCCATCCAAAATGTCAATAGTCTTCCTTTTGAGAATCCCTGGAGTAAGGCAATAAAGCAAGCAAGGGAATGATTAACACATAATTCTGAATACTTTCTGGGGGTAGAGGAATAGAGAAATATGAGACTGGAGAGGAGTACACAGGGCATTTCAAAGATCTTAGAATGCTATCTTCAGCTGAGTGATGAGTACACAGATATGCACTTTCTTATCCTGAAATATATATTACCTATAATTTTTGCCTTTACGATGAAATATTTTTAAGATTATAAAATTCAAAAATTATGAGGATACAGGTAAGTTATAAGAGTATAGAAATAGGTATAGGCCAGGTGCGGTGTTTCACGCCTGTAATCCCAGCACTTTGGAGGCTGAGGCGGGCGGATCACTTGAGCCCAGAAGTTTGAGACCAACCTGGGCAACATGATGAGATCTCCTCTCTACTAAAAATAAAAAAAAAAATTAGCTGAGTGTGGTGGCTCATGCCTGTGGTGCTACCTACTCAGGAGGCTGAAGCAGGAGATCGATTGAGGCTGAAGTGAGCTGTGATCACACCACTGCACTCCAGCCTGGGTGACAGAGTGAGACCCTGTCTCAAAAAAAAAGAAAGAAAGAAAGAAAAAAATTGGTAAAGAAGAAACTGGGACTTTTGATGAATTTAGTCGTTCATTCATTTATTTTAGGTTCACATGAGGTTATGTTTAAATGTGTTACTTTGGGTTTCAGCCAGGAGTAATGGTGAAAAATTGACCATGTAGTTTGCCAGGTGTGAGCTAGCTGAGAGTTGCTTCTTATAACCATGACACATGTTTTCAAGATTCCCCAGGGGTTAGGAATCCCTGATTCTGCCAGATCCCTACTCTATTCAGCTAGTTTCGTTCCTGAGAAAGAACGCACAAACTACAGACACATGCATATCTTTCACTGGTGGTCTCCTCTTCCAGACCCTGAAGCAGCACAGTACAGTGAATGTGGTCATAAGATCCGGAGGCATACTGCCTAGGTTTTGCATCTTGGCTCTGTTACTTACAGCATGGTCAAGTTAATTTTTCTGAGCTTTGGTTTTTGTCATTGTAAAATGAGGATATTAATAGTGCTCACTAATAGAATTGTTCCAAAGAATAAATGAGGTAATGCATGTAAAACTTCGTCAAAGTGGTGGCATATGTCAAACACTTAATATTGTTAGTTCTCCTCCTCCTTCTTCTCCTCATTATCACTATTGTCCCTTCCTTGTTTCTTTCTTTGATGAGGTCACTTGGGCAATGTGTGAACCTGTCTTTTCATCCTTTTTGTTCTTAAAACAAAGACAGGAAGCATACCCCAGCAACCAGCAACTCTTTGCTCCTTAATTAGCTCCCACTATCTATTCTGTTAGTAGAGAAACTTTCCCAAGCCTCATGGCAACAGTCTAGCAGCATAGAGCCATGGAAAGAGAGAGATTCATTAGGAAGAGAATATTTTAATCTCCTCCAACAAACTCCTTGCTTTCCAGGATGAGATGCTGGCACAGTTGTGTCCTTAATGACTCATGTTTCTCTTCACCTACCCCAACATTCTGCTTCTCCATGGTGGGTGGAGTTGTGATAATTGGGAGACATATTTGTTAAAATATTGATAGCTGCTGTAACAAACAACAAAAAGAAACACAATGGTTTAGACACAAAAGAAGTATATTTCTGCATCAAGTAAAGTCAAAGTGGGGTACTCCCAATTGGCAGGAAGCTCCCTTATATGGTTTGGCTCTGTGTCCCCACCCATCTCATCTTGTAGCTCCCATAATTCCCACCTGTTGTGGGAGGACCTGGTGGGAGATAATTGAATCATGGGTGCGGGTCTTTCCTGTGCTGTTCTCATGATAGTGAATAAGTCTCATGAGATCTGATGGTTTAAAAAATGGGAGTTTCCCTGCACAAGCTCTCTTGTCTTGTCTGCTGCCATGTGAGATGTACCTTTCACCTTCTGCCATGATTATGAGGCCTCCCCAGCCACGTGGAACTGTAAGTCTATTAAACCTCTCTTTTTTTGTAAATTGCCCAATCTCGTGTATGTCTTTATCAGCAGCATGAAAACAGACTAATACAGTAAATTGGTACTGGTAGAGTGGGGCATTGCTGAAGAGATACCTGAAAATATGGAAGCAACTTTGGAACTGAGTAACAGGCAGAGGTTGGAACAGTGTGGAGGCCTCAGAAGAAGACAGGAAAATGTGGGAAAATTTGGAACTTCCTAGAGACTTGTTGAATGACTTGACCAAAAGGCTGATGATAATATGGACAATTAAATCCAGGCTGAGGTGGTCTCAGATGGAGATGAGAAACTTGTTGGGAACTAGAGCAAAGGTGACTCTTGTTATGTTTTAGCAAAGAGACTGGTGGCATTTTGTACCTGCCCTAGAGATCTGTGGAACTTTGAACTTGAGAGAGATGATTTAGGGTATCTGGTGGAAGAAATTTCTAAGCAGCAAAGCATTCAAGAGGTAACTTTGGTGCTGTTAAAGGCATTCAGTTTTATAAGGGAAGCAGAGCATAAAAGTTTGGAAAATTTGCAGCTGGACAATGCAATAGAAAAGAAAATCCCATTTTCCGAGGAGAAATCCAAGCCAGCTGCAGAAATTTGCATAAGTAACAAGCAGCCGAATGTTAATCTCCAAGACAATGGGGAAAATGTCTCCACAGTATGTCAGAGGTTTTCATGGCAGCCCCTCCTGTTACAGGCCCAGAGGCCTAGGAGGAAAAAGTGGTTCTGTGGTCTGGGCCCTGTGTCCTTCTGCTGTGTGTAGCCTAGGGACTTGTCCTGCATCCCAGCTGCTCCAGCCACGGCTGAAAGGAGCCAATGTAGAGTTCAGGCTGTGGCTTCAGAGGGTACAAGCCTCGAGCCTTGGCATCTTCCATGTGATGTTGAGCCTGCCAGCACACAGAAGTCAAGAATTGGGGTTTGGGAACCTCCACCTAGATTTCAGAGGATGTATGAAAATGCCTGGATGTCCAGGCGGAAGTTTTCTGCAGGGGTGGGGCTCTCCTGGAGAACCTCTGCTAGGGCAGTGTGGAAGGGAAATGTGGGTCAGAGCTCCCACAGAGAATCCCTACTGTGGCACTGCCTAGTGGAGCTGTGAGAAGAGGGCTACCATCTTTCAGACCCTAGAATGGTAGATCCACCAACAGATTGCACTGTGCACCTGGAAAAGCTGCAGACACTCAATGCCAGCCCATGAAAGCAGCTGGGATGGAGACTGTACCCTGCAAAGCCACAGACACAGAGCTGCCTGAGACTGTGGGAACCCACCTCTTGCATCAGCATGCCATGGATTTGACACATAGAATCAAAGGAGATCATTTTGGAACTTTAAGATTTGACTGCCCTGCTGGATTTTGGACTTGCATGGGGCCTATAGCCCCTTTGTTTTGGCCAATTTCTCCCATTTGGAACTGCTGTATTTACCCAATGCCTGTACCCCCATTGTATCTAGGAAGTAACTAACTTGCTTTGGTTTTACAGACTCATAGGCAGAAGGGGCTTGCCTAGTCTCAGATGAGACTTTGGACTGTGGACTTTTGAGTTAATGCTGAAATGAGTTAAGACTTTGGGGGACTGTTGGGAAGGCATGATTGGTTTTGAAATGTGAAGACCTGAGATTTGGGAGGGGCCAGAGGCACAATGATATGGTTTGGCTCTGTGCCCCCACCAAATTTCATCTTATAGCTCCCATAATTCCCATGTGTTGTGGGAGGGACCCAGTGAGAGATAATTCAATCATGGGAGTGGGTCTTTCCCATGCTGTTTTCATGATAGTGAATAAGTCTCATGAGATCTGGTGGTTTTAAAAATGGGAGTTTCCCTACATAAGCTCTCTTCTCTTGTCTGCCACTATGTGAGATGTGCCTTTTACCTTCCACCATGATTGTGAGGCCTCCCCAGCCACATGGAACTGTAATTCCCTTACACCTCTTTCTTTTGTAAATTGCCCAGGTTCAGGTGTGTCTTTATCAGCAGCGTGAAAATGCACTAGTGTACTCCCCTTCCACCTTATGGCTCTGCCATCTTCAACACATGGCTTCCAAGTTGCTGAGTTCATTTTCATCAAGTTGGCACAGAGAAAAGTGTTTGGAAATTCATGCAAGGAGAGATTTTTATGGACCAAGTCTGCACACATCATTTCTACTCACATTCCATTGGCTAAAATCCAGTCACATGGAGGTTGGAATAAGTAGACTAGTTAGGAAAATGATGATAGGATTTGGTGAACAGCTAGCTTAGGAAAAAAGAAGGGGATGTCATTGAATAATATATGCTCAAAGCAAATCATATATTTCATAGAATTATAGTGGTAGAAGGCTATGGTTTGAATGTGTCCCCCAAATTTCATGTGTTGGAAATATAATCTCCAGATTAATATTTTGATGATATTTGGAGGAGGGGTCTTTGGGAGGTAGTTAGGATTAGATAAAGTCATCAGGGAAGCCCCCATGATGGGTCTGGTGGCTTTATAAAAAGAAGAGATGCCAGACATTGTGGTGCATACCTGTAATACCAGCACTTTTGGAGGCCAAGGTGGGAAGATCACTTGTGACTAGGAGTTTGAGACCAGCCTGGGCAACAGAGCAAGACCCTGTCTTTACAAAAAAAATTAAAAATTGGCCAGGCATGGTGGTGTGCACCTGTGGTCCCAGCCACTCAGGAGGCTGGGGTGGGAGGATTGCTTGAACCTGGGGAGGTTGAAGCTGCAGTGAGCCATGATCACACCACTGCACTCTAGCCTGGGTGACAAAGTGAGAACCTGTCTCGGAAAAAAAAAAAAAGCAGAGGAAGAGAGGCCAGAACTGGCAGACTCTTGCCTTCTTGAGATGTGATGCCCTCCACCATGTTATGACATAGCAAGAAGGCATTCACCAGATAACAGCACTTTGATATTGGACTTCCCAGCCTCCAGAACTGTAAGAGATAAGTTTCTTTTCTGTACAAATTACCTAGTCTGTGATATTCTGTTATAGCAACAGAAAAAAAAACTAAGACATGGAAGGAGGGGAAATGCCTGATTACTTGGAAAATCATTCGCAAGGCTTAGCCTGGTGCAAATTACATGGAAAGATATCCTGTCCCCTGAAAACTGATTTTACTGCACAATGGTAAACATAGGGTTTCTAAGCATTCATTTAATTCAACAGCCTATCTAAAGGGGCACAATATGCTATTCTAGGAAACTCTGGGGCATATCATGCAGTGATACTACATAAGAGAAATTAGGATTTCAGCTCTGTTTCTGGAGCTTCTTTAACTCCTCACCAGAAACAGGATATTAACACTATCAATGGGAACTGAATATCAGACATTCTCCTGACATTTTCTGGTGCTTACTAAGACTACTGGCAAGCAGAAGTAGGCAAGTCTCAGCAGTCTTTGCCTTCAATACAGCACAACTTTGTCAGTCATTTTAGCTGGTTTTCTTACACTTGAGATACATTCTAGCGTCAGCACCATCTGGGAGAGTATTAGACATACAAAATCTCAGGCCCTACCCCAGGCCAGATCTACTGAATCAGAATCTGCATGATCTTCAGGGAAATCCTGTACAATTTGAAATTTCAGAAGTGCTTCTGTGGAATACTGATTCTTCTTCTTCTTTTTTTTTTTTTTTTTTTTTAAGAAACAGGTCACAGTCACCCAGGCTGGAGTACAGTGGCATAATCATAGATCACTGCAGCCTCAGCCTCCTGGACTCAAGTGATCCTCCCATCTTAGCCTTCCTTGAGCTGGGACTAGAAATGCATGCCACCCCCGCCCAGATAATTTTGTTTTTTGTACAGATGGTAGTGGCGGGGCAGGCGGAGGTTGGGGAGTCTCACTATGTTGCTCAGGCTGGTCTCAAACTCCTGAGCTCAAGCTATCCTCCTGCCTTGACCTCCCAAAGCACTGGGATTATAGATGTAAGCCACTGCGTCGGCCTGGAATACTGATTCTCAAACTTGGCTGCACATTGGAATCACCAGGGAAGCTTCAAAAAATGCCAATGTTTGGGTCCACCTGAGGAGATGCTGTTGTAATTGGCCTGGGTTATTGCCTGGGCATTGGAATTAATAAGAGCTCCCCAGGTGATGCTATTTTGCAGTTAAATTTGAGAACCACTGCTTTAAATGGCCCACTTTCTCACTAAAGTTTTCTCCTTGATCATTGTGGACACTTGTTTAAAGGACTCTTATAGTATTTGTTTGATATCTAATCTGACAGTCCAGATCAATTCACCTTAAACTGAGAAAGACCAGGAGTATTTTATGGACCTTGGTTAGCAGAGCTGCTGACCATGATGTCGCCGCTGGGAGCTATACTCTTGCAAAAGGCCTGGGCTAACGAACAATGCCTGTATATTTACCCTAAAGACCGCTACAGGTAAATTACCACCTTCTCCCTCGTTGGCATAGGCGTAGATAGAAAAAAGAAGTTTCAGGCTGGGCGCAGTGGCTCACGCCTGTAATCCTAGCTCCTCAGGAGGCTGAGGCAGGAGAATCGCTTGAACCCAGGAGGCGGAGGTTGCAGTGAGCCGAGATCAAGCCACTGCACTCCAGCCTGGGTGACAGAGTGAGACTCTGTCTCAAAAAGCAAAAAAAGACAAAAGGAGTTTCAAATGAGTTTTTTCTTCCATTCCTCTGCATCATTTTCTCAGAACACAAAATTGATAGAATTCTCTGATTTGGAAACAACCACGTATTTCAGTTTTTAATTCTGTGTAGAAATAGATTACTGGCATTTTTTCCACTCAGAAAACATCCTAAAAATGCTAGAGGACATCCGTTTATTTAATTTTGCACCCTTTCCCAATCCTATCCTATGCTTAATAAACAATGAAAGAGTAAACCTGGGTTGCTCATGACTGCTTGGTAAAAATGAAAAATGTACAAGAAGATTGCCCTCAGTATTAAAAACGTGGCTTGCATTTATTCTTATGTTGTACTGCCCTGTGTTGTTGATTTTATTCATGGTAAGTTAACCAAACCAAATCAGAGCCTAGGGCAGTGATTTATCTGTGGACCCTGAGCCAGCATCATCATTATCCCCTGAGAACTTGCTAGAAATGCAAATTTTATGTCTCACCCCAGGTTTTTAACAAGTCCTTTAGGTGATTCTGATGTATATTCAAGTTTGAGAAATGCTGGTTAAGAGTTCAAGGGGAGAATAACCCACCAAGTTTTGCCACCTTCTGTCTGTGACTTTGGGCAAGTTTTTCCGACCTCTGTGAGCCTCAGTTTCCTTATCTATAAAGTAGCAGTAATAACAGTAGTAACTAATCTGTGGAACTGCTATAAGATTTACATGTAATAATTGAAGGAAAGGAATTTATGGCATATAACTATCATTACTTGTTATTATCCATTTGTGTATTCCTTCATTCTATAAACAGTTTTCTATTGATCACTTCACATGCCAGAATTGTCTTAGGTACCACAGATGCAAAGCGGGACAGGGCACCATACTTACCCCTAAGAGGTTCATGATCTAATGGAAGAGTTATACAGAAAAAGCAGGGAGTTCCTAATTAGGATAAATAAGTGCTTGGATGGTCTTCTTTTCAGAGAGCCAAGCACCTGTGAAGAAGGGCAGGGAGAATAAAGGGTCTGTCTATGTGGTGCATACAATTCAGATAGAGTCTGAATCTGGAAGCAGAAGTTCCAATCCCAGGTTAGTTCTTCCCGGCTGTGAGGCCCAAGGTCACTTCACTTAACCTCTCTGGGCACTGGGTTCTTAACTACAAAATGAGCGGATGGTCTAAAATAATTTCTGATATACCTCCTGCTACAGATACCTATAGGGGAGTGGAAAATTGCTTCCTTCCCCCTTCTAAGTTCTTTGGCTGGGCTACAAATTAAATTGACGTGAGACAGATTAACAGGAGAAAACCATAGTTAATTATGTATGTATCTGTGAGAGTCCCACAAAATATGAAAGTCTAAGAAGGGCTAGATGATTGAAGCTTCTATGGCATCCTGAGCTACACAAAGAAAGAAAGGCTTGGGGCTTCTGGGGGTGGTGGAGACAAGTTACGGGAGGGTGAGAAGAGGAAATATATGGTAACTAAAGATTGCCTTCTTATGCGGGTAAGGGTCTCTCTGGAGCAGCTCTCTTCCTGAGACAGATAACTTTACTGATGAAAATTTCCCGGAAGATGTAAATTTCTTTTACAAAGGTACAGCTTCTCAGAGCTACTCCTGTGTCTGCAATTTCTCAAAATAACCAGCTAATAATCAAGAGCCCAAAGAGAAATATTTTGGGGTGATGCGTCCTGAGCCCTAACATACCTAAGAGTTAAAAGACTCAAAAGAACCAAGCAGACGTTATAACCAGTTAAAAGAAATATCCAGGCCGGGCGCTGTGGCTCATGCCTGTAATCCCAGTACTTTGGGAGGCTGAGGCAGGCGGATCATGAGGTCGGGAGATGGAGACCATCCTGCCTAACACGGTGAAACCCCATCTCTACTAAAAAAAAAAAAAATTAGCCGGGCGTGGTGGCGGGCACCTGTGGTCCCAGCTACTTGGGAGGCTGAGGCAGAAGAATGGCGTGAACCTGGGAGGCAGAGCTTGCAGTGAGACGAGATTGCACCACTGCACTCCAGCCTGGGTGACAGAGCGAGACTCTGTCTCAGGAAAAAAAAAAGAAAATCCAAAAAATAGACACAGTTGTAGATCAATATCAAACTAAATGTGCAAATGTAGATCATTATATAACAAAAAATTTGGACTGGCTTTTGTCCTCATCATTTCCTGGAAAGGAGCTTCTAAATCCTCGAAATTTCTCAAATGATAAAAGTGTCTCTGCCAAATTTGCAACTGGCATCTGTAGAGAGGGAAGTCTTGTTGAGGACTGTGCCCTTAACCTGTGGAGTCTGCACTAACTCCAGGTGGTTAGTATCAGAACTGTATTACAGTATTGTACATAAAACCAAAACCAGCTTTTGCCTCAGTGGAAGAAGGAAGTTGATTGAACCTCCGAGAAACAAAATTTGCCTGCATATAACCAAAAATTGTTTTGCTATTGGTTATCTATAGCTTACAGAGTTGTAAAATAGCTTTCATAGAATCAGAATAAAATAATGGGGAAAGGTGAGCTATAGACAACACATAGTTTCCCATTGAAGCACTAGTTTTTCTTTACATATCTTCTTTGCATAAAGAAGAAGTGGAACTTGAGAGATCATTAAATCCATCCTTCTGCATCAAGGAGAGTCTACCTAAAACCAGCTCTGGCTGATGAGTAAATAATGGCAAAGTCCCAAATTTAAATCTTCAAAGAAGATAAACTTCATCTCCATTCATACCATATTTCAACATCACAAACTTCCCAACTAGAAAATTCTTTCAGATGTGTGACTCAGCACAACCCTGTGGACATTAATAATCATGAAATTTGTAAATAAATAACCAAAACCTTCCTGCTTAGTTCTTCGGGACTAGTCTGTCCTTCATGTAAAAGATGAGCATCTCATCCACAAAACAACATTTCTTTGTCTTCCCAGTCTCCCCCACCCACCCACTCATTCTGCTTTCTGCATTTGGAGTTTGGTATTTCCATTGATGCCCCCATGTGTTTTTTTATACATTGTTTTCCTTGTTTAGTAGTCAGCTACTGCTTTGTATGTGAAATCAGAAGTTCCCATCACATGGCCACATCATGGGCATACAAAGTCAGCATCTTCCATGTGACTTCAAATCCCATGCTAACTTGACTTACTGGCGATCCAAATATATTTTTAAAATAATAATAATAAAATAAAATTTAAAAAAAAAGATACTTGGGTATAAGTCCCCAGAGTCATGTGTAAATCATCCTTTAAATTTAACAAAATACCCATAAATTATCCTCACAGTAGTGGCCCTCAGATTGTGGTCCCTGGATCAACATCAGCATCTCCCGGGGACTTGTTGGAGATGCAAATTCTCAGATCCCACCCTGGACCTACAGAACACAAAACAGACCAGGTGTGTTTTAACAGGCCATCCAGGTGATTCTGATGCATGCTGAAGTGTGAGAATCATTTGTATAGATTTTTTTTTTTTTGACACAGTCTCGCTCTGTCGCCCAGGCTGGAGTGCAGTGGCATGATCTCGGCTCACTGCAACCTCCTCCTCCCAGGTTCAAGCAGTTCTCCTGCCTCGGCATCCTGAGTAGCTGGGATTACAAGCACCTGCCACCACGTCTGGCTGATTTTTGTATTTTTAGTAGAGATAGGGTTTCACCATGTTGGCCAGGCTGGTCTTAAACTCCTGACCTCAAGAGATCCACCTGCCTTGACCTCCCAAAGTGCTAGGATTACAGGTGTGAGCCACCGCGCCTGGCGCATTTGTATAGATGTTTAATTTTGCTAGAATTTGAAACACAGATAGTCAGGAAAAGCCAGCGTGTATAATGAAAAATGCAATTGCTTCTCGTCTCTGTTTCTGGCCATGACCTGGTTACACAGCTTTGCAGGCAGAAACTCTGAACTTTTTAGCTAAACCTAATAGACAGTCATTCTGCTCCCTGATTTAGTAAACTCTTTACCCCAGGACAGACTACCCCTTATGTAGAAAATATACATATATATATTCATATATTTATATATATATTTATAAAATCAATGGGAAATTTAGAAATACCAATGCTCATTCTAACCCTCATTTATATTCTGACTTCACATCATCGTCTGCATGTGGAAAGAGCTTCCAGTGGGCTCAGCTGGGAAAAACCATCACAGTGTCTCCTAGATGTTTAAAAGCTTGCTTCCAGAATGCTCAGCTCAGGAAAATTGGGGACCACAAGCTTTCAATCCACATGTTTGCCTGCCTTTAGCAGTGGTTCTTAGGGCCCCTGCTACACACTCTTCCTTGCTGTATACATCCCACTCCTCTTGCCTATACGACTCATCTTCTGGCACTTATCCCTTTCAGTAAGAGGTTGGACTTTTAATCATAGCATAAAGCATATGATTCTCTCTTATAATGTCTATTTAAATTTCTTTTCTCTTTCAAGTCTCCCTGAAGATTGCTCCCAGGGGTGGTGATTCCTCTCAGATGCTCATCTTGAAACTGAAAGTGCCCACTGAATGGGGATGAAAAGAATATTTTAACATGGGATAATATCTTCCACTATTATGGAATCTGGAAATGAATGCAAGCAGTTATATTCAAAATGAGGCTGTGCAATTATGCACATCAGATGAAAATGGCAGTCTGCAGGTGGCATACCACTTTGGAGGTGTGATCACAAACACCAACTCCCTCAGGAGATGAGGTAGAGGCAGTTAGTACTTAAATTAGTTTATCTTTAATTTGCATTTGATGTTGGCCCACTAGGAGGTAGAGGGTTGATGAGTTGAGAGTTACTGTTTTGCAGAAGAGCTACTTTCCCTTCAGCACATCTGGAGACTTGGCGTGTTCATGAACTCTGCACAGTTTACACAGGAGACTCTCTGATGCACTGTCAGTGTCTTAGCTGCATGTGTAGGGGTGATTCAGATTAGGAATATGGTGTTCCAAGTAACGATGCATCTACGAACATTCTCTGTTGCACCGTGTTGTAGTGAGTCCTTAGCTTGAACATAAGACATTCTACGGGCCTACTTCTTGTTGACTGTTTTGTTAGGATCTTTGGTACAAAAGTCAGTTTTGCATCACTAAATAAAATATCACATTGACCAGTGATTTTCAAACTTAGCTAAACATTAGACTCTTTAGAGACTTAAAAATCTCAATTCCCAGATTGCACCCCAGACAATTTACATCAGGCTTTCTGGGGTTAGGGCCCAGACATTGGTGTTTTTTAAAGATCTCCAGGAGATTTTAATGTGCAGCAAAATTTGAGAATCACTGGCTTGGGTGCAGGGGCAAAGGGAACTTCCCTGTGCCCTCTGGAGGTTTGATTAATTTGAGTCTATGAAAATGCGCCGACAATAGATTGACAGGAGAAAGTCATATAAGGTTATTACATGTACAAGGGCATCACAGGAAAGTGAGTACCCAATAACCCAATGAGATTTAAAGCTTCTTCATAAAAGATATACCCTTCTTCATAAAAGAGAGAGAAGTGGGGAACGTAGGCAATTTTAAGTGTAAGTAATTTTTAGAGGAGATGAATGGGTCCGATGAACAGACAATATCCTGAGACAGAGTTCATCGGGGTTCTGGTGGTATCAACTCTAGTTTTCTTTCTAGAGAGTTACTCTTCCCCATTTGATGAGATTCTAGGGAGGGGGCTCAAAACCATTGCATTCCTTCTGGAGGAACTTCCCTTCGTCAGATAAGGTACCTTCAGAGAAAGCCCCTCCCTGTACTTAGGGAGAGGCAGAAGGCTGAGAAACAAAGGCAGGAAAAGTTCAGAGAAATGTTGGTTCTGAAGCTGCTTCTTTTGTTCAAAGTACTCAGTATGTCCGTCAGGCATGGACATACTGTAGTCCCAGCTCTTAGGGAGGGAGAGATGGGAGGATAGCTTGAGCCTAGGAGTTGGAGACCTGCCTGGGCAATATAATGAGACCCTGTTCTCCACACACACACACAAACAATACTCAGTATGTCCAAGTGCCATACTTTGGGATATTGTTTTCTGATCCTCAACATGAGCAGTTTCATGGCAGTTGGATGGGTGGTTGTGGGCTCAAAGTAGACAAATCCATTTGTAAGGGAAAGGGGATATTATGCTGTGCACTGGTAATAAGGCTAAGTGAAAATGGTTTCCCAGCCTTACAAATAGAAACAGTAGTCAACCAGGCATGGTGCCTCATGCCAATAATCTTATCACTTCGGGAGGCCAAGGTGGGAGGATCACTTAAGCCCAGAAGTTCAAGACCAGCCTGGGCAACATAGTGAGACCCCATCTCTATAAAATTATTTTTTAAATTTGCTTGGCATGGTGGTGCATGCCTGTAGTCCCAGTTACTTGGGAGGCTGAAGTGGGAGGATGGCTTGAACCCAGGAGGTCGAGGCTCCAGTGAGCAGTGATTGCACCACTTTAGCCTGGACAGCAGAGTGAGACCATGTCTCAAAAAATAAATAAAAATAAAAATAAATAAAGTAAGGCCGGGTGTGGTGGCTCATGCCTGTAATCCCAGCACTTTGGGAGGCTAAGGCGGGTGGATCACTTGAGATCAGGAGTTCAAGACAAGCCTGGCCAACATTGTGAAACCCTGTCTCTACCAAAACTACAAAAATTAGCCTGGTGTGGTGGTAGGCACCTGTAGTCCCAGCTACTTGGGAGGCTAAGGCAGGAGAATCGCTTGAACCCAGGAGGCAGAGGTTGCAGTGAGCCAAGATCGCGCCACTGCACTCCAACCTGGGTGACAAGAGTGAGATTCCATCTCTAAATTAATTAATTAATTAAATAAAGTAGTTAGCAAAATTGAAGAGACCAAACTGGGTCTTCCCCCCTCCCCCAACCTATAAAGTGTTCTCCTCCCTATTGAAGTGTTCAATCATCAGTGTGCAAGAACACAGATGATAGCTCTTTTGAAGATAATGGAGGATAAATGCCTAAACTGGTGGTTTTCAACCTTGACTGCATGTTGGAAGTACTTGGGGACCTTAAAAAATCCCTATGACCTGGCCATATCCCAGAACAATTAAATCAGAATCATTGGATGTCAGACATCAGGATGTTGAAAATCTCTCCCAGTTAATTCCAACTTGCAGGCAGGATTGAGACCCAGTGGCCTGAAACAGGGGTCCTCCAAATTCTGTATATTTAGAATCCTCTGGGAGATTTTCTCTAAGTCCTGATGCCTAAGCCACACTCCACAGCAATAAAATAAGAATCTCCAGGGCAAGACCCAGATATCAACATTTTATAAGCACCCCGGGTGAGTCCAACGTGCAGACAACAAATTTGAAAACTAGTAGTTGGAAAGAGAAGTTAATGGAGAAAAAAAGAGGACACAGAAAAGCATCACTAATAATTATATCCACCTGGTCAATTTGCCCAACTCCGGTTCTTTGTGGTGACTAGAAATAGCTAGATCTGTAGCTGCAACATAAACCATCCTGAGAACGAGCTGCATTCATTCTGTTATTTGGAGACTGAGTGTGAAGATAACTCTCAATCAGAAAACTCCACATCAGCATTTTTCCTCACCTGGCTTCAGGCTCTATTTTAAAAATTTCTATTAAGCTATACTCTTTATCCTAGGAGAATTGTTCTTAACCTTGGCTGCACATTAAAATCACATAGGGGAGATTTTACACTCTCACTGCCCAGGTCACACTCCAAGCCATTTAAATCAGAGTCTGGTGGGTGAAAGAAGTTGAATGGGGGTGGTGTTCATACTTTTTAAAATTGAAATTTATACTGAGATTGTTGTAGACTCTTATGCATTGGTTTTAATTTGCATTTTCCTAATGGCTAATGTTGTTGAACATGTTTTCATGTGCTTATTTGCCGTCTATATATCCTCTTTGGTCAGATATATGTTCATATCTTTTCCCCATATTCTAATTCAATTATTTGTATTTGTACTGTTGAGTTTGGGAGCTGTCTAGATCTTCTCCATACTTCATGAGACGTGGGTTTACAAATGTGTTCTCCCAGGTTGTATCTTGTCTTTTCACTCTCGTTACATGGACTAACACAGAGCAGAAGTTTGTGATTTTGATTAAGTCCAACTTACTTTTCCTTTTATAGACTGTGCTTTTTAATGAAGCCAAAGAACGTGTTGCCTAGCCTTAGACCCTGAGGATCTTCCTCTATATTTTCCTATAGAAGTTTTATAGCTTTACATTTTACATTTAAATCTATACACTGAGTTAATTTTTGTATAAGATGTAGGGTTTCAGTCTAGGGTCTTTTTATTTTTTTCTTTCTTTGCCTGTGGGTATTGAAGCATCAATATCTTTTAAAATCTCTCCAAGCAGCCAAGGCTGAGAACCAGTAGCATGGTGATTGAAATTAGAAATCTCAACTCTAAGGCCTTCATGACCATCACAATAAGCTTTAAAAAGAACAACAGAAATCTGTGCTTTTAGACCAGCACTGTCTAATAGAAATGTAAAACTAGGCTGGATGTGGTGGCTCATACCTGTAATCCCAGCATTTTGGGAGGCCGAGGCAGGAGGATCGCTTGAGCTCAGGAGTTCCAGATTAGCCTGGGCAACATAGTAAGACCCTGTCTCTATAAAAATTTAAAAAAGCAAATTAGCCGGGCATGGTGGCACACACCTGTAGTCCCAGCTACTTGGGAGGCTGAGGTGGGAGGATCATTTGAGCCCGGGTGGTGAAGGCTACAGTGAGCCGAGATGGTGCCACTGTACTCCAGCTTGGGTGACAGAGCAAGATCCTGTCTCTAAATAAATAAATAAATAAATAATAAAACAAGTCACATAAAAATTTAAAAATTTCTAGCAACCTCATTAAAAATCTTTTAAAGGTTAAATTAGTTTTAATACAATATTTTATTTAACCCAATACGTCCAAAATATCATTTTAACTTGTAGTCAATATGCAAATTATTAATGAGACATTTTGTATCCTTTTTTCTGGACTAAGTCTTCAAAATGTGGTATATATTTTACATTTTCAGGACATCTCAATTTGGACTCGCTACATTTCAAGTGCTTAATAGCTACATTTACTTAGTGCCTACCAAATTGGCAGTATAGTTTTAGACAAAGGCAGTCTTGTTTCCCACCCCCATTCTTTGCATGTTTCTTGACTGAATATTAAATTTCCGTACTGTTTCTTCCTGGTACAACTATAGGACTATTCATTTCAAATAATACAGGCTGTATTTAGAAAACCTTGCTTCTGCTTAAATCGGGATGAAACAACTCTTTTCTAGACAAATACATTCATAGTGGAATGTGCTGCCATAAATATTTATGTTGGGCTGACAGTGATGGGCCCACAGCCTTGGAGCCATGATGTCTTCCCTCATGCTTTGATTCTTATCTTATTTTTCCTCAACTAAAGTTATTAAATTCGCATGAGTTTGCACAGTGTTCTAAATTCATGAGGGCCTTGTTTATAGATGAAACTGTGCAGCAGTAAGGGTGGGACAAGGTAAATCTTATATGTCATCATTTAAACTGTCTAAGGAACAAAGAGCTGAACAACACTGATTTCCATTCCACAAAATAAAGCATGCCAGTTTAAATAAATGTACCTTTAGCCATGTCTACAGCATGGACTAGAACAATTTCTCAACATCAGCACTATTGATATTTTGGATTTTAAAGTTTTTAACAGTTTTTATTCTTTGTTGTGAGGGGCTGTCCTGTGCCTTGTAGGATGTTTAGCATCATCTCTGGTCTCCAGTAATCACACTCCCACCCCAGATGTGGCAACCAAAAATGTCTTCAGATATTGCCACATGTGCCTTGGGAGTCAAAATGATCTCCAGTTGAGAATCACTGGACCACAATGAAATGAATTTCTGATGCGTGCATGGAAGTCAACTTCTTTGTTTTTTCCTTTTTTCTTCTTTCTGGCCAAATCTGAAATTTTATATGACTAATAGTATTTCTTTAATATTAAAGAGTAATATTATAGAATGCCAAGCTCTCCAACTTGTTTTCCTCTCTGGGGGGAAATTATATTGTCTAAAAGTGCCTGTGATATTCTTTGGTCATTGATAAAACAGCACCGAAGCCATTTTCACACGGTTCCCAAGAAATCTGGACAGAAATAGAGTAATCATTAAGCATTCCTCAGGCTGCACTTGGTGCCACTTCCTTGTAACCACAAGTCACGTAACACCAGATCCTGACCATTTCCAGCCCCATTGTTCCTATCAATGGGATCTCTGACATTAGAAATCACAAGGCTTCTGTTTAAGAATTGTTTCAGCAGATCCTGAATTCCAGTGAAACAGCTGGTACCAACCAATATGAAGTCCCCTGCAGAGGAACCCAATCAGTGTGAGAACACAGCTTCTTCATCTCCCTGTCCCACAACTTCACCTTGCACTTTTCAAGCAATCAACTATCTCCACACTCTGGCCCACTCCAAAACCCTTAAAGCCCCTAGCCCCAGACTCCTTGGAGAGATGGATTTTGAGTTTCCTCCTATCTTCCTGTTCATTGTCCCTATGGTTAAACCTTTTTCTCTGCTACAACCTGGTGCCTTGGTGTATTGATTTGCTGTGTGCATCCAGCAACAGACCTCTTACAGTTAGAGTACCCTTCGTTTCAGGCCTTGGTACTATAAACTCTTTGAGATACAGAAATAGGACAGATTCTTATCTAATCTTTGAATCTTTGATATAAAATTTATCTTCTGAAACAGTCCTCTATATTCTGCTTGGTGAATTCCTGCTCATCCTCTAAGGCCTGCTCATCCTCCAAGGCCAGTTCAAATGCCTCCTCATGTATGAAAACTTTGCTAATTTCCCAAGGCAGAAAAATGACCCTTTGTCAGAGGTTTCTTAGATTTTTGCCAAAGCTCCTCTAAAAGCATCTATTCATTATGATATTCATCCCTGAATAGTGAATGAATGCATGATTCCAAGTGACATTACAGGTAGGGGGTTTGAGGCATGGCAAACTTTGATTAAACTGGGAAGTGTGTTGTATATATGCACAGACAATGTACAGAGCAAAAGTAACCAGTAAGTGGAGACATGCTTGGGACATGGCCAAGAAGCTCTCCAAAAAAGTTAAAAAAAATTCATAGAGGATTGATAGCGTCTGTAATGGAAACCAAAGACCAAAATAGTTAAAAAAAAAGATCATCGGTGCTGCTCACACTCTTAAGTAAATTGGAATCAATGTAGCAAACTCATCTGATTCTGTGATCTGTGGTTTTCAAGATGTACAGACCAAAACAATGAATATCCTTTATGGTCAAGAATCTCTGAATAAAATGTTATGTTGGTGCTGAAATAGTCATTTACACAAAACATCACTGGATTCAAATTTTATAGCTTTGCTTTATCTCACTGCACATCAGAGAGATGTCTAAACTTAAGTGGGACTGTCTGACTAAGCTAGAATCTTTGGAAGAACCATAAATCAATTCCCTTCTACCTGTGATAAATAACAGGATCCCAAACAGGCCATATTTTGCTTTTTTAAGTACCAAAATCAATCTGCCCTTAAGAAGGAATACTCAACTCAGTGATTCTCTAACTTTAAACCACTTGAGAATTATAGATACTAACAAGCATCCAGATCTCCTGGAGGATTCTGATTCAGATCTGGGTGGGGCTTTAGAATGTGCACTGCTAATAAGCCCTGAGCTGAAATGATTCTGATTTGGGTAGGTCAGTGATCTCTCTTGGAAAGAAAACAATGAACTCTAACCCAGTGGTTCTCAGCCACAGTGGGAGGGGGAGGAGGGAGGCCTCAGCAGTTGATGGGGGAATTTTGGAATTTTGCCCCCAAGGACCTTTGACAGTGTCTGCAGAGTTTGGATGACAATGGCGGTGGGGGTTGGGGGAGTTAGTTCTATTGGCTTCTAGTAGGTAGAGGCCAGGGACACTGCTAAACCCCTGCAGTGCTAGAACAGCCTTCTGCAGTTAAGGAACCCCGGGATAACCCACTGGTTCTGAACCTTGGCTACACAGAATTACCTGGGGAGCTTTAAAAAATTCTTCTGTCTCACCCTTAAACAATCTAATTAGTCTGGCATGTAGCATGGGCCTCTGGGCTTTTAAAACCCCCAAGGTGGGCTGGGCATGGTGGCTCACACCTGTAATCCCAGCGATTTGGGAGGCTGAGGTGGGAAGATTTGCTTGAGCCCAGGAGTTTGAGACCAGCCTGGGCAACATCGTGAGACCCTCTCTCTATAAAAAATTTAAAAATTAGCTGGGCATGATGGCGTACACCTGTGGTCCTAGTTACTAAGTAGGCTGAGGTGGGAGGATTGATTGAGCCCAGGGGATCGAGGCTGCAGTGAGTCACAGTTGTGCCTGTGCCAGCCTGGGTGACAGAGCGAGACCCTGTCTCAAAACAAACAAAACAACAAAAAACAATGAAAATAAAGTAAAACTCCCAAAGTGGTCTTTAATGTGCAACCAGGGTTGGAAATCATGAGTATAGGCCAATGGTCCTCAAACCTATTGTATCAGAATAATTAGGATAGTTTTAAGAAATATATTGAATAGATTGCAGGGCCCCACCCTTAGAGTGTAGGTCTAAGGTAGGATCTGAGAATCTGCATTGCTATGTTTCTAGGTGATACTGATGCTGCTAATTTATTTTATTTTATTTTTGAGACGGAGTCTCACTGTTTCCCAGGCTGGAGTGCAGTGGCATGATCTCGGCTCACTGCAACCTCTGCCTCTCAGGTTCAAGCGATTCTCCTGCCTCAGCCTCCTGAGTAGCTGGGATTACAGGCGCGTGCCACCACACCCAGCTAATTTTTTGTATTTTTAGTAGAGATGGGGTTTCACCATGTTGGTCAGGTTGGTCTCGAACTCCTGACCTCAAGTGATCAGCCCGCCTTGGCCTCCCAAAGTGCTGGGATTACCGGCGTGAGCCACTGCACCCAGCTGACACTGCTAGTTTAGAGACCACAATTTGAGGCTGTCTTGTGAGGCACTGGAAAGTAACTCCCTCTGTTTGGTCCCATTCTGATTCACCATTTTAATTTTGGGGCCAGTAAACTAGAAATAGCATTGATGACATAAATGTTCTTCTGCCAACATGAAGAAAACAGGTCAGGTCATTGAATGAAAATCAAGTGAAATTAAATGATTTCTAGTAGCAATGAGAATGCAAATAAGCATAAACAGCAATAGATAAATCATTTCATGTTTTTGTTTAGCAAAACTTGTTAGGGCCTGTTTATATGTATTTGAAAAAAATATTTTCCAAGAAGCTTGAACAGTAAATTCAAGTCCAACAGGAAAATAATTTTAATTGAGATGGTTGCCAGAAGGGTCAATAGAGAAGTTTTTGTAATGGGAACATCTCAGCATTGCTTTCAAATTCATGCTAACACATGTTCTAAATAAGAGCCTGAGAAATTAAAAAAACAAAACAAAACTAGCTGTCAGAAAAACTGGTCATAGGAGAAAAGAGTCATGAGACCCTCCTGCTGCAAAATAATCATACTGTGCTTGTCTTTTTGCTCTGCCATGAAGAATCTGAGGGTGTCAAGAGGAAGAAGAAAGTCTCTTTGACTCAAAAAAGAGCAGAAAGTTTTTATCAAATCTAACTGTGTAAGCATGTGAGCATGTAATTTTTCTGTTTGTCGTTCTGATGGGAAGAAGCAAGTTATCAGCTGAGAAGAGGAAAGAAGAATGAACATGAAAGAAAAGAAAGAAGAAAGAAAAGAAAAAAGAAAAGAAAGAAGGAAAGAAAGAGAGAGGGGAAGGATGGAAAGATGAATGAAAGGGAGGAAGAGAGAAAGGGAGGGAGGGAGGGAGGGTGGGTCGGTCTTTGGCCCTAAACTGGCTTAGGTTCTGAGTTTAGATAAATCTTTAGATCAGGGATTCTCAACCTCAGCACTGTTGACATTTGAGACCCGAACATTCTTTGCTGTGGAGGCTGTTCCAGTGCATTGTAGGATGTGTAGCAGCATCCCTGGTCTCTACCCACACCACATGCCAGTATTATTCCCCCTATGCCAGTCGTGACAACCAAAAATGTCTCCAGACATTGCCAAATGTCTTCTGGGAAACAGAACTCCCCTGATTGAGAACCACAGCTTTAGATGATCTAACCCAGATTAAAACATTTACACAGTGCTTCCCAAATTATTGGTAGGGAAAACCAGTTTTTAAAACAATTTCCTATTTATTGTGAACCCATACATCTTTCAAACACACTAACATTTACTTACTTAAAAATAAAGTAACAAAAGGACAAAAAATACAAAAACATTTTTTATTATCAGATTGAAATATAATTCATTTACTCTGTAAAGGTGACAATATTTCCAAGTACTCTCAACTTCTATACTTAAATGAGCAAGTAATGAATAATGAACCAGCCTGGTACTCAGTGGCACTAATCTGGAGGAAATCAGAGAAAAAAAATGCATTCATTTAAGAAATACTTGCAGCATAGTAAGAAATTGTTCTAAAGTCTATATTTCTTACATGTTATTCAGGTTTTTGTCATCTTTAAGTTATATTATTTAAGTTAGCTTTAGTAGTTTTGTTGGCAACCTCTATTTAATTTTTAAAAGGAGTAAATGACTTTAGAAAAGCATGTTAATTTATAGCTGTTATCCCAGGAAACCTGGCTATGAAGACTCCAGCTGAGATACTGCATTTAACTTGTAGATAGTACATCATTTCTTTGATTCATTGATTAATTAATGAATTCAGTGCATATTTCTTCTACAACCCACTGAGTATCAGACATTGGGCTAGGCCCCGGGGATCCAAACATCAGTGAGAAAGAAACTCCACTTATGAGGGAAGATACTGCCATTCAGGAAACCTTCCTGGAGGGAATGACACCTCAGCAGAGACAAGAGAACGAGTAACAATCCAGGAGGAGAAGCAGGAAAGACTGAGAGCATTTCAGGCAGAGGGTGCTGCGTGGGAGATGGTCAGCAGATTAGTCATCACCCCTCCAAGGAACTGAAAGTAAAATATGGCTGAAGCTGAGAGTAGGAAGGGAAGGAGCATGAGCTGAGGCTGTAGAAATAATGCAGGGGACTGGGCACGGTGGCTCCTGCCTGTAATCACAGCACTTTGAGAGGCCGAGGCAGGTGGATCACTTGAGGTCAGGAGTCTGAGACCAGCCTAGCCAATATGGTGAAACCCCATCTCTACTAAAAACACAAAAATTAGCCGGGCATGGTGGCGTGCTCCTGTAGTCTCAGCTACTCTGGAGGCTGAGGTGGGAGAATCGCTTGAAACTGGGAGGTGGAGGCTGCAGTGAGCAGAGATCGCACTGGCCATGATAGTTGCTGAAATTCTACCCATCACATCTTTACATCTGCACTCCAAGTCAATACTCCACTTCCTAATTTTATCTTATTTTTTTATTTTTTTGTGGAGACAGGATCTCGCTGGTCTTGAACTCTTGGCCTCAAGTGATCCTCCCACCTCGGCTTCCTAAAGTGTTGGGATTACAGGCGTGAGCCATCACACCCAGCACTGCTTCCTAATTTTAAAGGGGCCTGTCTTCAAATCTCACATCATACTTCAATTTATATATTCCTGACCAGGACTTGTTACATATTTATACCTTGTTATGAAGGAGGCTAGGTTGTGTATTATTATTTTTTTCCTGGACTGCCATGTACTGTATATTCTCTGACAAAAAATCAGAACTCTGTGACAAAGCAAATAGAAGAGAATGTACATTTGGTATCCATATCTCTCTGAAAGACTGCCATAATCAGGTTTACATTTCAGGAATATCATTCTGACTAGGGTGGAGAGTAGGTTGTAAGGAAAGAAGACTGGAGCCAGGTAGATCAACAATGAGGTAGTGGAACACTCTAGGGCCAGGAATGGCAAACTGTGAACTATAAACTATATCCAGCCCACTGCCTGTTTTTGTAAACAAGATTTTGTTACAATACAATCATGTCCATGTATTTGTGTATTATCCGTGGCCCCTCTTGCTATACAGCAGCAGAGTTGAGTTGTTGCAAAAGAGACCGTATGGTCTGCAAAGTCTAAAATATTTACTATCTGGCCCTTTACAGAAAAACATTGCCAACTCCTGCTCTAGAGAAGCAGCAAGTAGTGTTGGAGGAAACAGACACTTTCAGGAGACATCGAGGAGGTAGAAAGTGTAAGCGATTTGGGGGTATGGAGGATTAGAGGCACAGGTTGGAGCTCTGGCTGGAGCAGGCAGAGTATTTCTGAAATCCTCAGCAGTGTCCAGATCACTGTCTAGCAAATCAGGTTTCCATGAAAGGGTTCTTATGAGACTTGAGATTGATCACTTATAGTTCATTAACCAAACAAAAAAAAATTATTCAGGTTTTGCGCTCTTAGCTTTGATGAATAAAAATTGAAAGAGGACTAGTGTCCATTTTAAAGGTGAAGAAAATGAACATAGAAACATGGAATGTTTATGACGTGTAAGACCCTGTGCTAGAAATGCATTTATCGTATCTGTTTATACTCAGTGACAATTCATTTTTTAATTTTGCTTTTTGATGTTGGCTAAAAAATATTTTTAAAGTATCAAAAAATTATACCACTAATGTTTCACAATTTGTTTTTGTTTTATATCTTTATTAAAAGTTTTAGTTATAAAAAAGTATAGTAGTATCATAAGCTTATTAAACAATGGGATAAGACAGAAAATTTGGGAAAAAATCTGTCCTCTACCATTAGATACAATTGCTGTTAATTCACTGTATTTTCTTTTCATTTTTTTCCTTTCTGGAAAGATTAAGCATTTTCTTTTAAATTATACTTTCCAATAGTTATATATAATGCTTTCTTCACTTAAATTCTGTCACTTTTTTTAAATTATGTGATCTTTGTTTGCATTATTTTGGGTACAAAACCATTCTGAAGATTTATGGGAGGTGCTTGGATTTGCACAGGTGTGTGTGCATTTCACAAGCCCTATATTTTCTAATTGGAGAGGTAAATCCATAACATAATATCCTGCTGCCCCACCATCTACTCAAAGGACTTTTTGAGTCAAGAGGCCTTTCGCAGTACAACCCAACACTTACCTCATTTGGGAACTAGGAATCTAATCTTTGTGTTGGCAGCAAAGCTCTTCCAAGAGAGTTGCTGCTTTCATTCAGTGGCTATTTCTAGAATCTATTTATAGATGCAAACTTGCCCTTTGCCCTTTGCCCTTTTATTCTCTCCTTGTGAGTGGCAGGCAGGGTTGCTGTACCACACAAAACAACTCTTCTTTCCCATCTGCCTTCCTGTGACATTTCTTTGGACCTAATCATAATCTAAAGGTCTTGCCTGTTTCTTCCACGCTGGGAATACTTGGCTAGCCCTAGTTTAGGAAATCCTTTTTTAATAGAGGAAAATTGAAATGGCCTAAGATTAGATTGCAGTGATGGTTGTAAAACTCTGTAATATATTGAAAACCACTCAACTATAAACTTTAAATAGTGAATTTTATGCTATATGAACTATATCTCAATAAATCTGTCAAAAAAATTAAAAAAGAAAAAGAGACAAGTTAGTAGTGTTATGGCTTTTGTTTGTTTGTTTTGAGACGGAGTCTCGCTCTGTCGCCCAGGCTGGAGTGCAGTGGCGCCATCTCTGCTCACCGTAACCTCCGCCTCCTAGGTTCAAGTGATTCTCCTGCCTCAGCCTCCTGAGTAGCTGGGACTATAGGCAAGTGCCACCACACCCAGCTAATTTTTTTTTTGTATTTTTGGTAGGGACAGGGTTTCACCATATTGGTCAGGCTACTCTTCAACTCCTGACCTCAGGTGATCTGCCCGCCTCGGCCTCCCAAAGTGCTGGGATTACAGGTGTGAGCCACCACGCCCAGCCTAGTTATGGTTTATCTAAAGGAGCTAAACAAGAAATTGAGTGATTTCACAGATCCAGCAAAGCAAAATTCATTTAATTAGCACCAAAATGAAACACACTCACTTAATAAGGGTGATTGCCAAGAGAGAGTTTGGGTGGTATTTTCTGTTTCCAAGGACCATCCTATGTGGTAGTGTGTAAACAGAGGCTGGGTGCGGTGGCTCACATCTGTAATCCCAGTACTTTGGGAGGACGAGGTGGGTGGATCACCTGAGGTCAGGAGTTCAAGACCAGCCTGACCAAAATGGTGAAACCCCATCTGTACTAAAAATACAAAAATTAGCTGGGTGTGGTGGTGGGTGCCTATAATCCCAGCTACTCAGGAGGCTGAGGCAGGAGAATCGCTTGAACCCAGGAGGCGGAGGTTGCAGTGAGCCGAGATTGCGCCATTGCACTCCAACCTGGGTGACAAGAGTGAAAGTCTATCTCAAAAAAAAAAAAAAAAAAAAAAAAAAAAACAAACAGTACCTGTTCAGGTATTTTCTTAAAAAGTTCTAAATGGTACCTATTCAGGTATCTCTCTCTCTCTCTCTCTCTTTTATTTTTTTCCTTAAGACAGGGTCTCACTCTGTTGCCTAGGTTGTTGTGCAGTGGTGCAATCATAGCTCACTGCAGCTTCGACTTCCCTGGGCTTAGGTGATCCTCCCACCTCAGCCTCCCAAGTAGCTGGGACTACAGGCATGTGCCATCATGCCTGGTTAATTTTTTTGTATTTGTTGTAGAGATGGGGTTTGACCATGTTGCCCAGTGTGGTCTCGAACTCCGGGGCTTAAGCAGTCCACCTGCTTCAACCTCCCGAAATGCTGGGCTTACAGGCATGAGCCGCCATGCTTGGCCAAGGTATTTCTTTTATATGCGCTCTGGTGCTCTGGAGAGCTTCAGAATGTTGAATAATTGGTTTCTAGAATAAGCTCTGTTTTGTTCATGGGTTTTGAACATGAAACAAATCCACTAATTCTCAATGGAGCATTAAACGTCTGAATTCATTTTGCAAAGCTGAATGTCAAAGTGGCTTTTTAAAGTGAGAATAAACATAAAGCCATTTATTACCAGTGATCACACCAGCAGTTCTAACAACTGGACTCAGCCAATTGGAGGTCAGGGAATACCCTGCATTTTTTTACTGTGCTAGATTAATCCCACACAGGATTAATCCCACCAGTGTGAAAGTGGGTTAATCATTAATGTCTTCAAGATGATGCAGGGGTGTGTTGTGAGTCAATTCGTGTTCTAAGCTGTTTGCCCTATAGAAGATTTGCATTTTTGTGTATTTGATGAATGTTTATTGCATGCCTATCTTCTTTCAGATGCTACATTTACAGGGTGTGTTTTGTTAGACTACGGTAAGCTGTTTTCCACAGAAACTTCTTAGAAATTTGTTTCTCTTGTTCTTCCCCCATCACCAAGAGTCCACCCTCTAAATAGTGTACTTCATTAGCTAGCTCCCCACATGACATATCTATGCAAGTGAGAAGGAAAGAGTTAACAGCTGATCTGCAATCCAGCCTTTCTCACCCAGGGAGGCACACCAGAGAGAAATGACCAGGTCACTTGTCCTTGTGAATTTGCTAATTGGATTTCCTGATGGTATTTGCAAATGGGAGTCCTTATCTATAGAATGCTTTTGTCAAGGTTTGTCTAGGCTTATTTACAGTAAACACACCTAGAATCTGTGAATTTCTGGATCATGGCCAGCTGGAAAATGTCATCTTTAGTGATCATGGTACAAAATGAAGATGTTTCATGACAAAAATAGCTCCTTTTGTGGAAATAGTGTCTCTCCACTTCCCACCTTATGGCACTTAGAGATATCCTATGTTAAATCTGGGCTAGGATCATTTCACCATATAGCTGTGATTCCCTGAGAACAGACAGCACATCTTATCCCTCTTTGTAACAATGTCCAGCACAGTACACAGCACCTAGAAAAGACTCAATAAATATTTAATTCATTTTAAAGAATATACATACATAACATAGCCCGCTTATAAATGGCCGTAAACTACTTGGCTAGCAAAACCCACAAAAGATCATAACAGTTTTAACCACAACTGTTGCAGCCTAGAAAATGTTTAACAGTCAAATAAAATGAGAAGGCATTTAGAAAAAAAAAAAGACTTTTAGGTTAGGTGCAATGGCTCACACCTGTAATCTTAGCACTTTTGGAGGCTGAGGTGGCAGGATTGCTTGAGCCCAGGAGTTCAAGACCAGCCTGGGCAACATGGCAAAACCCTGTCTCTACTAAAAATACAAAAATTAGGTGGGCATGGTGGCGCACACCTGCAGTCCCAGCTACTTGGGAGGCTGAGGTGGGAGGATGGCTTGAGCCTAGAAGGCAGAGGTTGCAGTGAGCCAAGATCACCACACTCCAGCCTGGGAGACAGAGCGAGACAGACCCTGCCTCAAAAAAAGAGAGAGAAAAAAAGACTTTTGAATAAAAGGTGGGAGTCTTTTTGATGAATGTTTTTCAAACTTTAACGTGCATATGAATCACTTGGGAACCTGTGATCTTGTGAACATGTAGATTCTGATTCATCTGGGATGAGTCCTGAGATGTGTCTTTTCCAAAAATTTCTAAAGGCTTGTTACTCAAAGTGTGGTCTAGGCACTTTGGCATCAGCATAACCTAGGTGTTTGTTAGAAATGCAGAATCTACAGCCCTATCCCAGCCCTTCTTAAATCAGACTCTGGCTCCTTTTTCAATGATTCCTTCGAAAACACTCTTGGCAAAGGTCCACGGACTTCTTATTGATCTTTCTCTAAGGTTACCTGGCCCTGCTTAAGAAGTGGTATTTCTTTGATGGCTCTATATCTCCATTATAATTGATTGGCTTTTCCAAGCTTATTGCTAAGGGGACACAAGGCACATTTTTATTCCTACTTTTTCTGAAACCATAGAACTTTGAACTTTCAGTCCCTTTGATTCAAGCGTGTCTGCTTTGGGACTGCCTAGCAAACAGTGTAATACTGTTACACATGCTATTTACTGGAGGTCAGGAAAATACAATATTGGCTAATGAGTCCCATGGGCAAGAAAAGGAACTCAGAAATTTCCTGTATAATCTAGTCAAAGAACATTAGATTCAAGAAGTAGCAGAAAGATGTTCCTGTGGTAAATAAAATGTGTTTGGATGTAGGAAGCTCAGAGTTGCCTTTTTTTTTCTGGACCCTTTAATAAAAATGTATATTGATTTTAAGCCATGAAATGAAAGGGTTAATGGGTACAATTCGCTAAAACTCTGCTACGAATTGAAATTCAAAGATGTAAGTGAAGAAGAAAATACTACTGGAATGAAGGTGAAGAACTCAGCAGAATTTCTGTCTTCAGAGAAACAGCAATATGGAAAAGAAGACTCAAAAAGGAAATGCCATTAACATCCACAGAGAAGCAGGCTGAGATGAAAGAATTACGTGCAGTTAAATCCAAGTCTGACAATACTTACAAAATACCATTAGCTTTAAGCAAGTATTATCTCCATACTTATATTTAGGATCTATAATGAATTCCCCTAAATGCATAGGAACCTCATAATGCCCCTGAGGTCTACTTGGATTTGCCCCTAAGTCAATGAAAGCCAAAGGCAGGTGTGTGTCCTGCAGGTAATAACTGCCTAACTGCCAGGAGCTTGCACCCCAAGCTATGTGTGGGTTGGCTGAAGTCCTGCTGAGCAGCGAGCAGAGAGCAATAATGGCTGGTTGTCATGATGAACTTCCATCCCAGAGAGTCTCAAACACGTTTCACATATTTAACCAATCCACAGAAAGATGACAGACAAAAATTAGTCCATATAGGGATAAGAAGGAAGAGAGAGTCAGATGTGTGCAATCTGGCCCTGACTAAACTATGAATTGCTATAGCGGGAAAAATAGGACATAGAAATGCAAATCCACAGAAAGGTCTTCAGGACTACATGCAGCTTTTAGTTAAAATACACATGCTGTCACATCCAATTAATTTTACAAATGGAATTAAGAAAATGAGAATACAAAGATCTATCCTGGGCTTTAGCAGTAAATCTTCTCTCCTTTATTTACCAGTGTTGTGGAATTTTAACTTTGACCATCACCTTCAGCTCTGTTTTACATTTCTGTTGCAGATTGGGCCTACAGGCACACAGGAACCCTTCAACTCTGTGTTAAAACCCTCAACACAATGTATTCTCAGGATATTTAGTCCCAAAACGTAGTGCTTGAAAAGCGGATTCCATGATTTTATAAATTTGGGAAATACATAATATTCTCAGAGATTTGTCATACACATTAGTACACTAAAGATTCTGAGAAATTCTATGGGGGAAAACTTTAATTTTGTTTAACGCGATGTTTCTCAAAATTACATGGCAAGGGAAACTTTTTGGCCCAGTATAAACTATGGAATTAGTGTTCTAAGGGACCTACTTGAGAAAATGCAGGCCTACAGAGATAGAAAACAGCGCCTGAAAAACTGCTCTAGCATGATATTAATGGGGCATAGTTGTCCCTGCTGTGATGTGAGTAGAGGGTAAGAAAAGCTGGGGGAAGCTCCCTGTTCATTAAACATTTGGGTGAGTCCAAACACTATCCTGCTGTAGTGAGTCCATGACAGAAGAAATGTTTTTGCAAGTCTTGGAGAGACAAGGGCTCTACTGACCTATGATTCCCATTAGAGCTGCAGACCAGCTATTCCAGATTCTTTGAGAACAGCCACTGTCTCTTATACATGCTTTTCCCCCTAGAGCACCAAGTTATATGCTTTGCCTAAAGCTGTGCTTGATGAATGTCAGTTGATTGATGTACATGAGGCAAAAAGCTGGAAATGAAGAAAAGGAAGGCTAGCCTAGAACTGAAAAATAGTCTATTTTTTTATAAGTTCAGGAATATTTTCATCAGATAGGCTCCACCCATGTGGCAAGTACGGTATTGTGCTACGTGTTGGGGACTAGACGGTGAATACTTCATGGAGTTTATAGTCTAATTGGGAATGAGGCATTATAAAAATTGTACACGTTTTTAAATGCAAGCTATAATGAGTGTTATGAAGAAAACATGGTGGCGTCATGGGAGCATCTGATAAGGGGACATGACTACCTACATTCCTGGGATGAGGGATTCATTCTCTGAGCAAATGGTGAGCTGAGAGCAATCCTGAAGCGGTAAAGGTGAAAGGCTGAGATGAAGAATTCCAAGCAGAGAATGGGATTGAACAATGAAGAGGGAGCAAGGGGAATGAGGCCAGAAAGCAGGCAACCGCTCATCATTCAGGACTTTGTAGGACAAGTTAGGAAGTTTAATCATTGTTGAAAAGCCATGAAAGCAACTCGAAGCTTTTAATCAGGGGAGAGATATGACTGGATGTGCAGTTTCAATAGGCCCTGAATATTCCTGAATCAGTATGGAGAAAGGATTGTAGAAGATGCCCAGAGACCACATGAGATTGTTGCAGGAGTCCAAGTGACAGAGCTGTGGATTAAAGTGAGGGTGGCAATGAAGAGGGAGAATTGGCAAGGGGTGGGCTCTGTGGTGTCAAGGATGGAGTTCAGTTTCTAGCTGGTGTAAATGGATGGAGGTCCCCTTATTAGATTCTCCCATGACACCACCATGTTTTCTTCATGAAACTCATTACAGCTTGTATTTAAAAATTCGTACAACTTTTATTAATGCCTCACTCCCCATTAGACTATACACTCCATGAAGTATTCACCATCTAGTCCCCAGAACATAGCATAATACAGTACTTGTCACATGGGTGGAGCCTAGCCTAGCCTACCATCCATTGAGATGAGGATGGAAGACAAGGCTATAGGTTGGTTTTGACATTTTCTGTTGGATACCTGGAAATGCTGAGGTGATACTGGGTATGTGTGTCTAAACTTAAAATGGGAAGTCTGGGTTAGAAATATACAAGGGTTAATGGCTTATTGATGGTAATTGCAGCCATGGGTCTGGAGGAGTTAACCTAAAGGGGAGCGAGGAAAGAGAGTTCAGTTCTGACTTCAACATCTTAAAGACTTGGCGAAGGAAGATGAGCCAGTAAAGGAAACTGAAGAATATCACTGAGAGAAAAAAGCAGGAGTTTGTTGTCTCACAAAACTTGTGGTTGATATAGTCAAATGCTGCTGCAAGAACTCACTTCAGACTCAAGTCGAAGCGGATCCATTGGAAGAAGCAACAACGAGGTCATTGCTGGGCCATAGCAAGTACACTGTACTGTTTTGCCAGAGTGATGGATGTAAACAATAGACTGGAGTGTGACCACAAGGAGAGGGATGCAAGTGGAAATGTCCTGAGGGCCCTTTTTAGAGGTTTGTCTAAGAGGAAGATCAGATTTCAGTTCGGATTTTGGCCCTGACTATGTGAGCGACCTCACTTACATCTTAACTCTTAGAATGAAGAAGGTCTGTTCCACTCCACACATGTAGAATGGTAAATAAAAATGTTTTTCTTTCATTCATTCTCAATTCTCTTGTGCTTCTTAAAGCAGGAGAATCTTGCTGATGGTGATTCTAGTTTTAAAGACACAGTACATATATTTATTAGACTACATGACCCCTCCTCCTGGCAAAATAATAAGTAAACCAAATACTTTACCTGGTGTTAAAAATGAATGTTTAATTCACCAAGATATGAGTTATTATGGCCATTTCTGTTGTGGCACCTTCCTAATGATTTTTTTTTTTTTTTTTGAGACGGAGTTTCACTCTTGTTGTCCAGGCTGGAGTGCAAAGGCGCGATCTTGGCTCACCGCAACCTCTGCCTCCTGGGTTCAAGCATTCTCCTCCTCAGCTTCCCGAGTAGCTGGAAATACAGGCATGCGCCACCATGCCCAGCTAATTTTGTATTTTTAGTAGAGATGGGGTTTCTCCATGTTGGTCAGGCTGGTCTCTAACTCCCTACCTCAGGTGATCCACCCACCTCGGCCTCCCAAAGTGCTGGCATTACAGGCATGAGCCACCGAACCCAGCTGACATCTTCCTAATGATTTTTAAAGAACAGTTCTAACTATACTCAATTCTATCCTAAGCACTGACTTTAGAATATAGCTCCTGTGTAAGATGCACTTCCACCTTTAATGACTAAGTTCTTAAGCAGTTTTAAGAAATCCCAGAGCAGTAAATACAGGATTTGCAAGGAAGCTTTGCTTTTTACGTCAATTTCCTTTCACTTATCCTTTTTAGTAACTTACCAGTTCAGCCACATTTTAAAAAATTAAATTCTTCTGGACTGTGTTATACTATTGTTATTGCTTCTAATAATAGCTTCCTTCCTCTGCACCCCCACTAAAAGGAAGTAGCTGGAGTCACAGAATCTAGAATATTGGAAAAGTACCCAAAACACATTTTTGACATTTAGTTTATGACTGAAAACAGTTATTTGGTATTTGATTCAAGTTGTTCAACCATATTTGCACGGTAGTGGGCGAAGACAGTTCAGGGCAAATTTCATAAGTTCTACTGAACGAATCTGTATGATAGTATTAGAGTGAAAACTTGATGCAAAAAAGATAAATAGGTACTGGATTGAGAAACAGAAATGATTGGCTTCTTGGTTTGTTATAGTCTCAGATTCAGCAATGAAAGGGTCAGGCATAATATTAGGAGTTTTGGAAATTTCTTGCATTCAGAAACTTATTAAGAATACACACATATGTACATGATTTCCAAAATGAACCAAGAAATCAGTGAGATTTTTAAACACATATACATGTATACATAGCTCCAGAACAACCTGAAAATGTGCAGAGGACTTTCTGGTATAATAGAATTCAAGGCACTAGAATTTAATCCAAAGTAAATTGGACAGTATAAATGTTGGATATCATGATGCAGGTTTCTGTAAGAATTGTTTCCTTTTTTTTTTTTTTTTAAATAGTTTTAACCTTCTTATTTACTTACATCCACGGAGCATATTTATGTCTAAGAAAACTAACTCAAATTAACTGAAGCAAATGGATTATTCTGAAAGAAAAGGGAAAGTTAAAAAAGCTAATTGCTTTCACTAGAGCTTCATTTATAAAAGAACACAATTACTGGAAGTACCCTTTGTCCTAGCAAATTAACTCATTGTGAGAATCTTTCTTAAGTGCTTTTTATGATTGAATAAATGTTTAAAATAGTGGTGACATACTTTCCTCTAACAATTTACTTATAAAAGTTTGAATACTTGTGTGAACTGAAGCTGCGAGACTAGAGAAAGCCAACTAAGATAGAGATATGTTGTCTCAACACCCGCCATTTGGTGCCTAATGAAGAAGTTCTAGTCTATTTCCTTTCAGGTGTGGAACATCTGTGAATTCAAAGCTGTCAATCACACTGCTTAAGGTTGAGTTCAGCTTTTCAACCCTCTGTTTCCTGGGGGACTGAATTGGATGAGTTTGCAGGTCCCACCCAACACACTCCAAGCATCTCTCCTTGAGTACGGGGGTGGGGTGTTGCTTGTGAATGTGATGGGGTATCACTCCCATGATTAAGAAGAATTTTGCAGATATAATTAAGGTTCTGAATAAACTACCTTAGAGTTGATCCCAAGGGATATTGTCCTGGGTGGGCTTGACTTAATCAGGTGAGCCCTTAAAAGGAACTCGGCCCTTTCTGAAGGAAGATTGGAGGTAGCAACAGCCATGCTGGAAACTGCCTATAGGGGTGGGAAGCTGCAAAGACCTGGGAGGGGCCTCTAGGAGCTGAGAGTAGTCCCTTTTGCTAGCAAACTGACAATCTCAGTCCTATAGTCACAAGGAAATGAATTGTGCCAACAACTTGAAGGCACTTGAAAGTGCATCTTTACCTAGTGGAGCCTCCAGGGAGGATGCAGTCAGCTGACATCTTGATTTCAGACTACCGAGCCCCTGAGCAGAGAACCCAGCCATGCTGTACCACTGCAACCCACAGAAACTGTGAGATGGTAATACATTTGTGCTGTTTTAAGCTGCTAAGCTTGTGGAAATTTTTTATATGGCAATAGAAAACTAACATATGTGCTCTGATTTTATTAAATACAAGACCTGTTCAGGCTACTAGATGATGGCTCCTGAGACAACTGGTGGCAACACACCCTACTATATGCCCTTCTACAGAGAGATGAATAAACCTCCCTGAAGGTTGATGCTGCACATCAAACCACTCCACAAAGCAAACATATGTTAACCTGTATGTTTAAAACCTTTTTGAAAATATGGTCTGTGATACGGTTTGAATTTGCATCCCCACCCAAATCTCATGCCAAATTGGGGAATGTTGGAGGAGGGGCCTGGTGGGAGGCGACTGGATTGTGGGGGTGGATTTCCCCCTTGCTGTTCTTGTGATAGTGAGTTCTCATGAGATTTGGTTTTTTAAAAGGTGTGTAGCACCTCCCCCTTCTCTGTCTTCCTCCTGCACCAGCCACGTAAGACATGCCTGCTTCTGCTTTGTCTTCTCCCATGATTGTTAAGTTTCCTGAGGCTTCCCCAGCCATGCTTCCTGTGTAGCCTGCAGAACCGTGAGCCAATTAAACCTTTCTTTATAAATTACCCAGTCTTAGGTAGTTCTTTATAGCAGTGTGAGAATGGACTAATGCAGTCTGTCTATAGGTTAGAATACCAAAAAACTTCCAGCCAAGGGTCCTGAGTGGCTATTTTACTTTGTCACCTCTGCTTCTCAAGTATTTTATCTTCATTCTTTTTTCTTCTCATACTGTTGGTGAAGTAAAGTTCTCAGACCTACCTGTTCAGCATTTTAACCTACTACTCAAATGTGGCAGCTCTGGGCAGTTACGACAGCACTGGACTTGAAAGATTAAACTCTTTGTTCTGACACCAACTAGTCATGTTACTTTGGGAAAAAATTACTTCCTGGACCCTTGGTTTCCTTACCTATAAAAGACAAGATGTTATGATGTATTCCACTTATGACCAAAAAATTATTTGGTATCTGACTCAAGCTGCTCAACCATATTTGCGTGTTATGACAAGTATGTTTTGTCTTAAGACTGCTCAAGATAAGCGTGGGAAAACTGCTGGTTTCAAGGACCACTCAAATTTTCCCTCTAGGAAGACTTGAAAATATGCACAAATCTTGTCCCTATGGGTCAGGGAGATATTTCTCTGTATTCTTGTCAGTTAAACCAGTCGTCTTCAAATATTTTAACACGTGGAAGAGATTGGTCTCACTCTTCATGGCAGGCAACATGAGTGGGGAATAAAGAAGGTATGAGACTCTTTGGACATTACAGGGAGATAATTTTTATTCAACATAAGGACAAATTAAGATGCAGCTGTGAAAGAACTGATTTGATAATTTTATTGAGGTGCCAAGAATACAAGAGTGGATAAAAAACAGGAAAAAGTTTAGAGAATTGACAAGGAGGTGGAGGCAATATATTAACAAAGCAAGGCTAGACTCCATGCATGCTTTAAATGCATTATTTTCTCTCATTCTCACACCTAACCTGTGGAGTAGTACTATGATTATCACTTAGGGAAGCAGGCTGAAACTGGCTAACTTTCGCAAGTCACACAGGTAGTCTTACCTCAGAGCCCTCACTCCCAACAACCATTGTTTCAGTTGGAACAGAAGATTTCTAGTGTGTCTCTTTGGGCCAGGGAGAGAGGGGGAGCCCTATGCTTTTGAGGGCCCATATTGTTCTGATGTCAGGAAACCTAGAGTTGATGGTAAACATTTAGGGGAGAAAGAGCTGAAGACTGTTGTAAAGTCATCAATCCTTTCCTACCTAGCTGGAGATTTTCCTGACAGGAGCTCTAGTCTCCTAGAAAATTGTGCCCTTTAGGGACGGAGACCACCCTGTCACATCCCGGGTTGGTATGGTGTTTGTTGGCAGGTTAACATTCTTTGTGGCTCTATTTTGAATTTATCAGAGGGTTGGGACTCTTTAACCACCTGATTTTGTTATCTCCACATATTTTTCAGTGTAGAAGAGGGACCTGTCCCATTCATGCTATTTTTATGGAGAGGTAGCTGCCATTTGGGAGGTTGTATATTTCAGTGGTGACAGACCAGACATCAACAACCCTGAGAACCTCTAACATCACCATCCTGGGCTTCCCTGCTGCCCCTCTGCAACACCCCCCAGGTCCCGGGTCCTGAGCATGTTGTCTGATTTCAGAATGATCAGTGCCACACTGCTATCTTCCCTGTGTGTCTGGCAGTTGGGCAGACTTCTTGTTAGCCTGCCTCCTGCTTGCTGCTGTCAGAGAGAACTATGTGTGGATACTAGGACTGGGGAAACTACGTGGCAATTCTGACTCATTGCAGCTCCAGCAACAGGCTCCACAATGAGCTGTAAGCATGACAGTGGGTCCAATGCTATGTCTGGGGAAAACGAAGAACTACACTGAAGAGCAGCTACACCCGACACGGGGACGAGCAGAAACAGGACACACTAAAGGACAGGCTAACCTGACATTGAATTGTATCTTTGGAGGCCTGCAGCACTGTCCTTATAAAAATGCAAAGCAGATCCAAAAGAAATTACTATGATCTTTAAAAGGTCAGAGTGAGGTTGAATATTGATTTTCTTTAAGATGCTTTATCAATTAGAGACCAGAGGTTTTTTTCCTGATGATATTTATTTCATAAATGTAATTATTTTTCTAAAACATATTAAAATAGAAAACATGTTCTTTTAATCAATCAATTTATACAAAGAAAATACCAATATAGTAATAAAAATACTGAAAATATATGAAAAGCACCAGAACATTAGAGAAATTACACTGGCAACAATTCTAGGAATATATTTTTTTTTGTAGTTGTACAATAAAGTGCTATTAAATCCAGTCAAAATTAGTGGCAATATATAAAAACAGTTATGGTAGTATGAAATTTGAGGCCAGGTTTACCAGCAATCGCATTTTTAGGCTACTTGCAGATCAAGGTAATGATATTTCACTAATGCTTTCATGGAAAATCTATTAATTTCCATTCCTAAGTGAAAACAAATATCTAAATCTAAATGTTGGTTCCTTGGTAATTTGGTCATGAATAGGTAATGACATGATTAAAAATAAAATTACTGATTAGAGTACCAAAAAAATCATGCAATTATGATTAAATAAAAACAAATGAAGACAGAAAAAAATCAAGTGTAAATATATGATTAATCAAGACAAGTACAAACGTTTAGATGCCTTTGATTTTATAGTGAATTTTCAGTAATCCTGCTTAGTCACATTTAATAGACACACAAACATTAACAAGATATGTTATTAAATTCAACTGACCAGACATTGAGCAAGGATATTTTAGTGGGTCAACATAATTTTTCATATGAAACATTAAAGGGACACCGTTAGGACAATACATTTTCAATCTTGGCTAATTATTTCTTCATTTATTTGCCAAGGAACAGAAAACATACACAACTACTTTGGGATTAGATTATATTAAGGCCAAAAATCTACCATGTAAGGGGAAGCCACTGTGCACACACACAGGGAGATACTGTGCACAGTACTTAGGGTGGACTGCAGTCCATTTCACAGCTGGAGGTGGCAAACTGAAACAGAAAAGCCCAAATTAAGACAAAGTAGCACACCAGTGTCCTTTTAAGGTTTTATTTCCTAGGCCAATTTTGAAGGAACTGTTATATCATTCTTCATAACTCAGTTTTGGAATCAACTTCTTGAAGATGAAAACCAACAACACTACCCTTCAGAATAGTAATAAAATCTCCAAACATGGCTCAATCGAAACTCAACATTTTACAGGCAGACAACTGTTTTTTCTTTCATATAAAGTAGATGTACATGTGAACCAACATAGACCCAAACTGGTCATATTAATGAGAAAACAAACTCATGTCATTGCCTCTGCTACTGCAAGGTGTATCTTTTTAGGATTTTAGGAATACCGGGTGGGTACTACCATATCAAAGGCAGAATATCAAGTAAGTCAATTGGTCCTAGTTTGAAGGTTTCACAGATCATCATGAGTTACATTTTTCATTCTTTAAACGGAGAGCTGACACCTGGGCGTCTGTGTTTCTTTTTATTTTTTTTTGTTTTCACCCTTCTAGATACTCTAGTATTTTGTAAATTTCCTTGTCATGGGCTGACTTTTACAGGGAACATTTTAAAATCTAAATTTATTATCCTGCTTAGCATCTCAAACAACTAACCTTTCAAAAAAATTTATATCTAATACCTTTCATTTAGAAATGAGGAGGGAGACAGTGCAATTCATGGTCCACAGAGACTCCTCTGCTCTGGAATGGGGGTGAAGATGGGACAATAGAGGGTCAGGCCTTTATAATAAATTAGGCAAAAGGTTCAGTGTCCAGCTATAGTGGACAACATGAAACTCCATAAAAATGACTGGATAGGGGGACTGCTTGAGACTTTTCTTTTGGGCATTACTAACAGAATTCAAAGAAATTCCAACCACGCTTAGTTTTCCAAATTCTACTGAAATGAGAGTGTTCATAAAAAAGCCTGAGATTAATAAAAGGCAGGCTGTTAAGGAACACTGAGAAACAAAGGTTAAGGTGGTTTGGCATTAAATCGGTTTACATTCCAAAAGAATACTGACCATCACTGGGAGGAATTCTCAAAATTACAAAGTCATGGTTACATAAATTCCTCTATATAAGTATGTTTTCTTTCTCAATATACATGTTCTTCTATATACATAGTATAGAAAAGCTAGTAAGTCAGCTCAGCTATAATAATTCTGTCATAAAAAAGCAGATTACATTTTTTGGCTGCAACAAAGCATGTTACTTATACTTTTCAGTTTAGCTAATGTATTTACACGATAAAACTTAAGCTTTAAAAGTATTCAGATCAAAAGGAAAAAATAAATTATATTTAAACTATTAATTTACACAATGGATATGCCTTTACTTACTTTACTAAATAGCTATAGTCTCTTATAATCAATTTCTCCAGCATTTCTTTATTCTAGCAGTTTATTTTCAAGACATGTATGTGTTCCCCTCCACGTGCTGCATATTTCCTTTTAGGAAGCACAGATGTGCAATGTTTTTAGTAGCTTGGTAGAGTTTTAGGTCTGTTACTTTTTCCAACTAATGGACGAAGGAACCGTGGTTCCTACCCGGCACCACTTCTTTAACTGTACAATAAATAGAAGAAAGAGGTGACAAAAGCAAGCAAGAGCATTGTTAAGGAAAGCAGCAGCTGCTGGAACCAGATACAACGCTGAACTTGGTCTTCAAGCTTCCTATTGCTTTCTAGTAAACGACTGAGCTGAAGAGGGAAGAGGGGATGAAAGATTTATATCAATAAAACAGCCATTAATCATGGGCATGACAAACAGGAATACTAGAAATCCAAACACTGAAAGGATGGGGCCCACTACTCTGTAAGGCTGGTGGAAGGAGGTGGAAGTGCAACAGGGCATTAGATTTGTTTGGTGGACAGATATGTCTATGCTTATTCTCATTTTGAGAGGTCTGAATTTCTAGTTGAGACAGGAGCAGAGCAGTCAGTTCCTAGAGGTACAGAAACCCTTAAGCAGCCTTCAGCTACTCAGAGAGCCCCTCTGTCTCTTTCAAATTTAAATGCACTAATTGGTACTTTTTTCTGCAAGACTGAATTATTTGATACTCCCCAAAGTACCTTGTGCTTTGCTAAAAATGGCCAGAGCTTTCAAATGGTTAGTAGATCTCCAAAAATAACTCACTGCTTACACCATTTCTTTTCTTTTTTTATTGAGAAATGGTCTTGTTCTGTTGCCCAGGCTGGAGTGCAGTGGCATGATCATGGTTCACTGCAGCCTTGACCTCCCAGGGTCAAGCAATCCTCCTGCCTCAGCTGGGACTATAGATGTGTGCCACCACAACTGGCTCATTTTTAATTTTTTTGTACAGACAGGGTCTCGCTATATTGCCCAGACTGGCCTCAAACTCCTGGGCTCAAGTGATCCTCCTGCCTCGGCCTCCCAAAGTGCCGGGATTACAGGCAGCACCACACTTGGCCTGCTTACCATTTCTGATTTGGCATCTCTTCACAAAGAAGACAGTATTTCTATCGTGTCTATGCCAAATGTTTTTCTTTATGTCCGTGAGAAAAAAAGGGATTTCTAATGTTGATCAGCATTAACAACTTTGTTTGGGTAGGAAGAAAGTATACTTACTTGTAGACATATATCTTCACTGGTTTTATCTGACATATTGAAAGCATTGTCTTTTAACGTAAGAGTGTTTGGTTTACTGCTTTCAACAGTATGGCATCTTAACCTATTAAAATCCAAAGAAAACATAACTTCTTAAAAAGTTAATTTTCTTATAAAAGTAAAATATAAAATGAAAACAGTTATACACAGAAGTCTATGTAACAGAGGTAAAAGTCCTCATTCCTCTTCCCCAGGTTCACCTAAGACAGTTGCTCTGTGTATATGTATCTTCCAGCTTCGTTAATTAATGCATGTATAAGGAACACAACATATTGCAGATACCATTCGGTAAAATTCAAATGAAAGTGTTTATATGGTATTCAGTAGAATTCATCCAAATATCTTATGATTTGAAGGAAATCACCCTTTCTAGATAGGAGAAAGGTACTTTCCTTGAGCTTCAGTACCCCACCATCAAGCCTCCCTCCCACTTTCTGCAGGAGAACAGTGATCTCCTCTCACAGTTATAGAAAAGCAAGCCATCAGTAATTGGTAAAGCAAAAAACAAAGAAAACAAAGCAACTCGAACATAACAAAACCAAAAATAACCCTTCATTTTGAGGGACTGTTTCGTAAGAACTTCAAATTAATCTGCAACACCTTTTATACCAGCGTTTCTTACCCTTTCAAAATATTCCCATAACCAGTGTCTTTGAACAAAAGAAAAACTCTTGATAAAAACAGAAAGTAGGCCCTCCTGTAATACAATTTGAAAATTTAAATATTACACGTAAAAACAAGGCAGGCTGCTGACTTCCATCTGCTTCTCCCTCCTCCGGACTAAGGCTAATCTCCCCTGCTTTGGTTCCCCGCACTTTCAGCCTTCTCAGGAATTTCACTGTTCATAATCTATTTTCATGATCTATCAGCTAAGCTTTTGATTTTTTGTAGAAAGAAAGTTTCCCTATGTTGCCAAGGGTGGTCTTGGACTCCTGGGCTCAAGCAGTCCTCCCACCTCAGCCTCGCAAAGTGTTGGGATTACAGGTGTGAGCCACTGCGCCCAGCCCTGAAGGTTTCATTCAACCATAGCCATTATCAGGTTTCCCAGCTTCTCTATAAAGTAGGAAAAATGCCTTTCTCCCTCACAGGGCTGTCTTCATGACTGAATGAATCAATATGTCTAAAGCATCTAGAACAGTGCTGGCATACAGCAAATTCCACTTTAGTGTGAACTTGGTATCACTGCCCACCGTCTAGTTTCTACACAGTACCCAGAAGAATCCTTTAAAAAAATAAGCCCGGATCACCTCATGGCTCTGCTTAGTGCCAACTAATAGTTTTTCCTCTCGCTCAGAAGTCCTCACCATAGGGATGATCTGATATCCTACTATCTCTGTCCCCATCTCTCACCATGCTCCTCCCTTACTGGAGTCAAGAGACAGTGACTTCCTTGTTGTTCCTCCCAAAGGCCAAGCACACTCCTTTTGCATTTGTTGTTCTGTCTGGAAAGGTCTCTGTCCAGTTATCTATGTGGCTTGCTCTCTCATTTCCTTCAGGGCCTACTCTAATGTCATCGGAGTGGCCATCCTTAACTACCCTATAAAGCAGGATTTCTCCACCTCGACACTATGGGCATTTGGGGCCAGATCATTTTTGGGGGATGGGGCTGTCCTGTGTACTGCTAGTGGTTTAGCAGCATCCCTATGCTGCCCCCATTAGATGCCCACTGTACCCCATCCCCCAGTTGTGACAACCAAAAGTGTCTCCAGACATTGACAAATGTCCCCTGGGGGGAAAAATGTGAACACTCCAATAAACCATAATTCCAATTTAAAAAAAGCAAAACTACAATACAGCCCCTTCTATTCTCCTTTTCTACATATCTTTTCAAGAAATTTGTCACAACCTGATATATCTATATACATGCACATACATGTATATATCTATATATGCAAGTTTTTCCCCCTCTTAAATAGAATAATGTCCATAACCAATTTTTCTCACTAGATTTGTTTTCTAAAATATATCACAGATGTCTTTCCATGTCAGAACAAATAGACTTGCTGTACCTTTATGAGTGGTTGCAGCACACTTTAGTGTGGATATACTCAAATGTATCTCACTATTGCTTTACTGGTTACGATTTAGATTCTTTCTTTCCAGTTTTTCACTATTACAAACAATGCTGCAAAAAACATTCTAGTATGTAAGGTAAGCACTCCTACAGGGAGAACTGCTGAGACAATCTGTGTTTGTGATCTGGACAGATCCAGACTCTTGCACTGGCCTGCAAATGAGTTTCTGCTATCAGTGACCTCCTTGAGCAACACCAGGTCTCTTTCATCTGGGCATCCCCAGAGCCTTGCAGGGCACCCAGCAGATGCAAGAAGAAAGGGAGGCCACCTGGTCCATGGAGGCACTTTTCTCTTTCTGATTCTTCCCACTACATTTGAGAAGAATGTGAGGGAAAAGCTTACCTATGTTCCATCACTTTGTTTCTGGGAACTTCTTTCCAAAACTGAGTTAATTCTGCTGGGCCTGTGCCAGATGACTGTTCCATTTCTGCAGCCATTATCAGAAAACGGTCTTGGGCAGAGACTGTTAAACCTGCATTCCAAAAGGGTAATTCAGCATATAAACAGGAACCTTCAAAGCGGTTGGATATGCATGTGGTTTAAAGCATTATTCTGGAACTCAACATTAAGGAAAAAGAAGAAAATGGAAATGTCTTTAAAAAGGAAAAAGTTCTAAAAGTGAGGAAATTTCTCTTTTGAAATTCAATTTCAATTGGTGTCAGTTTAAACAATTTTACTTGTTAGAAACAATACATTTTAATGCTGGAAAGGGCTTTAGAGACCTCTTTGACCACCCCATTTCACATGTGGGAAAAAAGATGTCTACAGCGAGGTGAGGTGACTCGTGATACTCTGCTAATTTCTAGATTCTAGCCTGACATCTCTGCTGACTCAGAGCCAAGGTCCAGGTCCCCTTACCCCCACCACACCCAACACCTGCTGTGGCTACTAAGTGACAACTCACCCCCATGGGGAGACACAACTATATCCACTGATGCACCCGGGTCACAGCTGCTATTGCTTGGCTTGACTCTGTATTTTTCTGGAGCTGTTGTTCTCACCTATTTATAAACACAGTAGTCACATAACAACCTTTATGCTTTTTTGGGGGGAAATGGCTTAAGAATGACTTTAAAAAAATTTATTTTTATTTTTATTTTTATTTTTTTTATTTTTATTATACTTTAAGTTTTAGGGTACATGTGCACAACGTGCAGGTTTGTTACATATGTATACATGTGCCATGTTGGTGTGCTGCACCCATTAACTCGTCATTTAGCATTAGGTATATCTCCCTAAAAAAAAAATTAGCAGTGAATAATCAATGAACAAAGAGTTTACAAAGTAACATTGACGATTATGCATAGAAGGTATTTTTTCCCCACTAACAGGAAAAAAGCATCTCGACCTATCTAAAAACATACTCATATATAAGTCAAATTGTCATTCAGACTCCCTCTTAAATAAAACAATCCATCTGTTAAATATTTATCCTGTTAATTGCCTGAATTTAATGACATAAATTCACAAAAACAGAATGCACATTAGATTGCATGTTATTAATACCATGGTGTTCAGAAATTAAAAAACAGTAGATAATCAAAGCACATCAGGAACATCCTGGTAGTTACATCTAAATTAAATAGAAGATTTAAGGCAGGAAAACCTACAATACGGGGTAGTGACGGACTTAGTCTTGTTACACTTAATGCTCAGTATCAGGTTAATATCCGATATAAACTACACTCCAGAATATACCACACTTGGGGAAAATGCACTATCAATTTTATAGTTTTATGTTTCACTGTTATTATAAATTAAATTATTCACATAGTAAAGAGTAATTTTTCTTGGGTTGTTATTTACAACAAACATTAAACCCTTGTATTAACTTAGACATTAACCTATTACTGCACGTAAAAGATTCAGATACAGACCTCAGGGAAAATTTTTTGATAAAGCTATGCGACTTGGTTAGAACCAGAAGGTAGTACAACATGCCTAAAAATTGTCATAAATAAAAACACTGTACAAGTTCAAAATTTTCAATCTTTCAATTAGAATATGTCTAAAATCACTTCCCATGTCAAATTCTCAAACATAATTTATTGTATCTTTAAGATATTTACCTTAAATGCCACTATATTTTTAGTTACATTTGTCAACACTATTAAGGTTTTCTTCTCTCCGGATTCTGTACTTCCAAAGTACAGTTCTTCTGCTGGGCTAGGGAGTGACAAAAACATAAGACATTTGTAATAATCAGAATAAATGACAATCTAATCATTTAGCTTGAAGAAAAATATTTAGTTAATATCTTATGCTCATTTGTATAAAGACATTTCACCAAAAAAGACTTACAAAACAATTACCTAATACAATTTTGTATTTTAATCTTACTGATTCAATGCACACTATTTAAAAAGTCCTACGGTTTTCCCCAAGATCAAAAGCAAACCAGGAAGAACAGAAGAGAGAGTTATGAAGGCTCTGATTAATCCTATAATCAGCACTATCTTAAGGTGCGCTTATTTAAACTATTTGGAAGGTTATAGATAATAAAGCAAAGAAGATATTGCTGCTTCAACTTTACCTAATTACAAATAATTAGAATGAGGCATATTTCTATACACCAACAGAAAAGAGCATAACTTAAAAAGAAAGATGATTAGGAATGTATTTAACAGAATAATTTCTTACTATATAGCAGCTTTTCTAAGTAATAGGGAAGGAGAAAAGTAAACATAAAAGTAAGTTTGGGATGGGAGCTGTAGGAAGAACTAATCAAATAGTAAAATCAATGAGCTTCAATATTTAAATTTTACTATTACTTTCCATTGTAATGCCTATGACCTAAAAAAAAATTTAAAAGATTCAAGCAGTTTGTGTAGTTTAGTTACATTAGCCAAATTGTATCAGGTGGCTCAAAACAATGGGAAGAATAGTGTTTTTGTTTTATATAAAAAGGTGAATAATTTAACTAAAGTGAATTTTCAGCAAGCCGTTGATTTTGAGATACATCTTTAAATAGGTTAATTTTATATCAGGAATGTCTGTACCTTGGGAGTGTTTTTTAATCTAACTAACACATGTTTTTAAGAATGAGCTCTCCCAGAAGGGCTTTGCCTAGTTTTGGATAAGGTGGTAAATTTGCATGGTTGCTGGCTTTCTTCTAGAGCCTAATCTTAAGTAAGTCATAGAAAACCACAAGGTTATGGATCTCATTGTTCTTAGTAACCAGCACAACAACTGTGAGCAGCTCCAGGAAGACAGAGGTTGGTTAGGTCCTTGTGTCTGTGTAGGAGCAGCTCTGGGACTTCACCGGGGGCGGAGGAAGGGAGGAGCAGAGCCCAATGTGCAGGTGAAAAGCTGTCTGGCTTTCTCCCTAGCCTGCTTTTCCTGTCATACCTCTACAATTACAGGCAAGGACCTATGATGTAACAGGTTTACAGTGAAAACAGAATGTGTAACTTCCAAATAAGTAGGGAGAAAAATGGGAACAAGTAAACAAACAAAAAAGATAAACTCCAAAGGGGGAAAATGGGAAAGAAAAACCATGAAAAACAGAAAATGCATGCGCATCTATGTCTCTCTTGCTTGCTGTCTTTCATACATATAGATGGCGGAGATAAATCCAAATATAACAGTAATCAAAATATATGTAAACAAGCTAATACTATCAATTAGAGAATGTCAGATTAGATTTTTTAAAAGTCTGGCTATATTGTTCATAAGAGATATACATAAAACATAGCTATACAGAAAGGTTTCAAGTAAAGGGACAGAAAATGCTACATGAGATCATAAAGTTGGTGTAGCAATGTAACGTAAGGCAAAATATATTTACCAACCAAAAACATCATCAGTGAGAAAAAGGTCTTTATACAATGCTGAAAGAAACAACCTGGAATCTTTTGAATCAAATAACCTAGCAGAAAAATAGAGATGTCCTGAAGTTTGGCTTTAGTCACAAACCTATTTTTCCAGTTCATCTTTGGCTTCTGGAAAGTAAAATCAACAAATCCTTACTTTAGTGTCATTTCTGGCATTCCCAAACTTGGGCAAGTCTAATAGTATCAGTAATGTGAGGAAAATACATGCCATTCAGATTTATTAATATATAAATATTTAGTTTTATTATCTGATGTGTGATGAGAACCCTTTAAAGACACTCAACATAATAGAAGAAAGCAAGGTAGCTAAACATATGCACTACGTCTGGAAACCAAGGTAAGTCTTCAGATAACTCTTGGTTTTATATTTCTACAGTTTCAAAAACCAAATAGAAGTTTTCTTAATTTTGTGGCTCCCTCAAGGTGATCAAGATATGTTATAAAATTATAGCTAATAAAATCTTTGACGATTACCTGATGTGTAGTAAGGGGCCTTTAAATACACTCAATGGTTTCTTGAAAGCTTTCACTTTTGAATCAACTTTTTCATTTTCTTCTGCTTTGGAAGTAGATTCGGTTGGGTTAATCTAAAGACAAAAAAAAAGGATAACTATTTAGCATATATTAACATGACCATTAACATCTATTTTAGTGCCTACTATTATACATAACATAGGTTACTCTAGAAAATACAATATGGTCCTTCCCTTAAGAGTCTTTAAATTTTTCTAAATTATAACATTGTATTTATCCATCTATCAAGTTCCTGATTACTTGTAAAAAGTGACAACTACTAAGTGCTCTTTTAAAAATTAGAGAAAGGAACTAAATCAAAGTTTTAAATTAATTACTTTTAGACAAATAAAAAAATTTTAGATAAAACAATTACTTCTAGATGTGTTTTGCTAGTCTTTATACAAAAGCATGGAATCAGCCTTTATTTTATTTTGAGACAAAGTCTCACTCTGTCACCCAGGTCAGAGTGCAGTGGCACAATCATGGCTCAGTACAGCCTCGACCTCCTGGGCTCAAGCGATCTTCCCAACTCAGCCTCCAGAGTAGCTGGGATGACAGGTGTGCACCATCACATCTGGCTAATTTTTTATTTTTTGTAGAGACAGGGCCTCCCTATGTTGCTCGGGATGGTCTCAAACTCCGGTGCTCAAGCGATCCTTCCACCTCAGCCTCAGAAAGTGCTAGGATTACAGGTATAAGACACAGGCCCTGGCCTGGAATCAGACTTAAATACACTAAAGTGGTGCTTCTGGTCAGCTAATCCCATCCTTCCTCTTTCTTTTTACACACAAAAATGTGGAAGGGTAGCAGGTTAAGTGAATTACCCAAAATCACACAGCTGGCTAGTGTCAGAATTGGGGATAGACCACATCTTGTGATTCAGTTTCATTTTATTTATAAAGTTACCTTTTTAAGAAGAGGTGTTTGTTCTTCATTAGAAATTGTTTCCAATGTTTCTTTGCCATCACTTTCTATGTCTTCTTTACTTGAAGTTTCATCCTCACTGGTAATAGGCCCATTCTCACACAGTGGGGTCTGGAAGTCATCATCTACTAGTGGTGGATAGCTATACTTGAAAGGATCCTACAAGAAAATAATTTCACATGAGCCTACTAAATGGTGGGTAGAGAAATAACTCTCTTAGTAGATTTACAATTCATTACTTTGGCCAAGAAAACAGACTTAATTAGATCATGAAATTTAAAATAAAGGAAGCATTTCAAACCAGAAAGAAAAAGAGCAATAAGTGGTGTGGGACAATTGGCTAGCCATCTATACAGAATCACCTTAGATCTTTAGCTCGCTCTCTACACCAAAAAGAATTTCAGATGGATAAAAGCTTTAAATGTATATGTTGTTTGTGTGTGTGTGTGTGTGTGTGTGTGTGTATTTTTAAAGAACTATATAAGTTCTGTAACAATACAGAAGAGGGATACAGAATACACTGAAAAAGAATGAAAATTGTCTTTTGAATCATAAGAAAGTTTTCAACATCACCTATAATTAAAGAAATGCAAATTAAAATGACAGTGAAATATTTTTTACCTGAGACTGGCAATGACTACAAAAATGAGAATATGCGATGCTGGCAAGGAGGTGGTTCAAGAATTCTCACACATTATTGGTAAATGGGCACAATCTCTTTAGAGGAAATTTGGCAACAGCTATCTAAATTAAAAACTATACTCACAGATTTTTTTCTAGGAGTTTATTCTGTATGCATTCTCGCTGCACACATATATTAAGAATTATTACAAGGATATTCACTGCAGCAAAACTAGTAATGGCAAAAAATTAGAATACAACTATCAGTGCAGCCCTTTAAAAGAAGAGTGATTAAATCAATTATGTTATACCCGTCCATACAGTGGAATATTTTGGTTTAAAAATGAGATAGACCTCTGTGAATCAATATGGTGTAACCTGCAAAATAAAAGATGTGAAAAAAGTACAAATGGACAATATATATGGTATGTGACCATTGTGTAAAAAACTGTAATAGATAACTCCAGAGGGATAGAAAACTTGATGGTGACTGCCTTTAGGGAGTGGCAGTGGGCATGGACCTGGGAAGGCAGATGTAGTTTTCATGGTACTGTTATACTTTTCAATCTCTGGTATTGTATTTACTTTATTAAAAAATCATGTATATGTATTATTTTTTGAAAAAAAATACTTAAAAATTAATGTTAAAAAATAGTAGTCCTACTATAATTTTGACTGTAATTCTGAAGAAACATATCACTAAGGACAGAGAGGGGAAATAAAATAACCGTTTCTATACATAAAATTAACATTATTTAAAATGTTATGAATTATATTAATTATAATTATTTAAGATATAACAATTTTATGAGCAAATTATTAAAAATAAATAAAATCACATTTTAAATCAAGCATAGCACCTGAAATGAAGTATATTTGGTTTTTCTAGGTGAAAATGTGAAATATAAAGCCTTAGAATAAGAAAGAAGCAGACTTCAAATTAAAAATATTTGTTCAGGTCTTTTCTAATCAAAGACAATAAACAGAAGGACATATCGAAACTATTCCTCTTGCTAGTTCTGATTGAATACAATTTTGCCAGGCAGGCAGTATAAAAAATAGATTGCAAAAAAATCAAATAAGTGAAACATTATGAAGTTAACCCAAAGCGTACCAAGTCCATAAGTTGTACAGTTTTTTTATAAGTAGTAAAAATCAGCTCAAAAAAATCTGGATAGTATATGCTTAATAGTATCTTTTTAACTAAAAAGACTGTTGAACAGCAAACAATTGGAAGCACACTAAAGACACATCAAGAGGAAATTCACTAACTTATGTCTAGATAGTAGAATACTATGCAGCCATAAATGAGTATGAGAGCCTGCTACATATTGATTTGGAATAAGACGTACTGTGAAGAGAAAAGCAGGATGCACACTAGCACATAAATACACTGACTTTAGAAGAGATGAGAGGGAGGAAAAATTATATACTATACTTGTTTATATGGGTAATACATATCCCTGCAAATTAATACAAGAAATTCAGCTGGGGAGGGAATATGGTGGTTGGAAACAGAAGTAGGAGGTGATATTTTTACTGAAGACTTATTTCTCATTATTCTTCTGAATACTCTTCAGTTTAGAACCACATAAATATATTACCTATTAAAAAATAAAAAATTAACTTTAAAACTTTAAAAATGTGTGTAACACTACTTGCTATTTTGGGGGTATCTGTGATATTTCTTTGCATATTATGGTACTACTTTTCTTTTTCCCTTGAGGAAAGTATACAGCCTAATGTGCCATTATCCAGTATTGTTTTATAAACAAGTTTCAAATACTTACAGTTCCACCCATGTGGGGAGGCAGGTATTCTACACTGACATAGTCCTGGACTTCATTTTTGCTTGTAAACTTCAACAAGCTCACTGCTTCTGGACCAAGCCAGGTTTTCACAATTTTGAAAGCAGCTGAAGAAAAACCAGTCACTTCATTAAAATTCTCATCATTCCTAGTCTCAATTAATTTACCATAAATGCTAACCCAGGTCTTCTGAAATCAGTTTGGGCTATAATCTGTTAATATTTATCTTTACGTGATGTACTTAATTAACATTCTCTAATTTCTGTAGGCGTTTACATTGTGGCTCTCCCTTATGGGTTTCAAATGTTCCATGAAGATTCAGGAAGATTAAATTACCCTGATGTTCATTAATAAACTTATCAGGGTTTTGGCCTCTGAACAAATCCATCAATGATCCCAACTATTTAGATTTCCAGACACTGAATCAAACAGCAATATGATTCAGGAAATAACTGCACAATAGTATGGAAAGAGTCATTTACCTTATGGTTCTGATAAACTCTCTATCTGAAAAACCTTCTCAAACAGCGAGTCAGAAAAGAAAGAAAGAAATAGCCCTTCTTATTATGAGTGTGAGCTGGATCCAGCCTTCCTTTCTAACCCTACACTTCTCTGCCTCTCTCCCAGGCCTTGCAGTTTATATAATTGTGGGAAACTTACGAAATCTCAAAAATAAACTGGTTTTTAAATTTTTTTTGAGACAGAGTCTCACTCTGTCACCCAGGCTGGAGTGCAGTGGCACGAACTGCCCTGTTCTGTTATCAAACACAGCTGTTTGGTAATTACAATCTTGTTCTGTCATGTCATTTCTTATTTATGCTTAATTTTTAAACCTCATTTTCACTGTGACAATCTAAGTACATTTTTAAGAAATTAAAAGAGAAATACTGCATTAAATTTGCAAAACTGTCAATTAAAAAAACAGAAACTAAGAACAGTATGATAAACATTAAATGGTTCGGAGAAGTATCTTTTTATTTTAGCTAACTATAAGTTTTTTACATAACATTTAAATTTTCATTAATTTCAATTTAAAATGTGAGTTGACATGTTTGAAACTATGCTACTTTAATCTGATAAATCTGATTTTTCATAACTTTATTGAGATATAATTTACATGCCATAAAATCCCCCCTTTATACAAGTCAATGGTTGTTAGTATATTCACAGAATTGTGCAACCACCATCACCACCACCACAATCTAATCTAGAACATTTTCATCACACCAAAAAGAACCTTCATATAGCAATCTCTCTTTAGGCCTCCTTCTCCAAGTCCTTAGCAACTACTAATCTATTTTCTGTCTTCATGGATTTGCTTATTTTGGACATTTTATATAAATGAAACCATACAACATGGCTTTTTCTACTGGCTTTGTTCACTTGGCACATTTTCAAGTTTCATTCATAATGTAGCATGTATCAGTACTTAATTCCCTTTTATGACTGAATAATTGTCCATTTTATAGATATGCAATATTTGCTTTTCCATTCAGCAACTGATGAATATTTAGGCTGTTTCCACTTTTTGTTATTATGAATAATGCTGCCATGAACATTTGTGTACAAGTTTTTCTGTAGACATACGTTGTCACTTCTCTTGGGCATATACTAAGGAGTGGAATTTTGGGTCATATGGTAATTCTATGTTTAGCTACCGAACTGTTTTCTGATGTGGCCAGACCATCTTAACATTCTCACCAGCAGTGTATGAGGCTTCCAATGTCTCCATATCCTTGCCAATACCTGTTATTATGTCTTTTTTATTCTAGCCACCCTAGTAGGTGTGAAATCACACCTCACTTGGTTTTGACTTGCATTTCTCTAATGACTACTGATGCTCAGCATCTCTTTATGTGCTTATTGCCCATTTGTTTATCTTCTTTAGAAAAACATCTATTCAAATATTTCACTCGTTTAATTGGGTTACTTGTTTTTTTTTGAGACAGAGTTTCACTCTTGTTGCCCAGGTTGGAGAGCAATGGCGCAATCTTGGCTCACTGCAACCTCTGCCTCCTGGGTTCAAGCGATTCTCCTGCCTCAGCTTCCCAAGTAGCTGGGATTACAGGCGTGTGCCACCATGCTTGGCTAATTTTCTATTTTTAGTCAAGATGGGGTTTTACCATGTTAGCCAGGTTGGTCTCCAACTTCTGACCTCAGGTGATCTGCCCACCTCGGCCTCCCAAAGTGCTAGGATTACAGGCGTGAGTCACCATGCCCAGCCACTTGTCTTTTTAACATTGCATTGTAAGAGTTCTTTATATATTCTAGAATAAGTCCCTTATAAAATGTATGGTTTGTAAATGATTTCTTCCATTCTGAGAATTGTCTTTTCACCTACTTGGTAGTGTCCTTGAAGGCACAAGTTTTCAATTTTAATGCAGTCCAATGTTATCTGTTTATTTTGTTGCTTGTGCTTTTGTTGTCATATCTAAGAAACCATTGCCCAATCCAAGCACAAGGATTTAATCCTGTGTTTCTTCTAAGAGATTTAGCTCTTACATTTAGGTTTCTGATTCATTTTGAATTAATTTTTATATATGATGTAAGGTGGGGTCCAACTTCATTCCTTTGAATGTGGATACCCAGTTGTCCTAGCACCTTTTATTTAAAAAGCCTTATTTCTCTACTGAATAGTCTTGGCACCATTGTAAAAAAAAATCAACTGACCATAATAAACATTAGGGTTTATATCTGGACCCTCAATTCGATTTCACTGATCTATACGTTTATCCTTATGCCCATACATGCCCAATGTCTTGATTGCTGTAGCTTTGTAGTAAATTTTGAAATCAGGAAGTGTTAAGTCCTCCAACTCTGTGTTTCTATTTCAAGATTTGACTACTCTTGGTTTCTTGCATTTTCATATGAATTTTGGGACAAACATATCCATTTCTGCAAAAAAGGCAGCTGGGCTTTTGATAGGGACTGCACTGAATCAGTAGATCAATTTGGGAAGTGTTGACCTCTTAACAATACAGTCGGCCCTCCATATCCACAGGTTTCACATCCATGGATTTTTGATTCACCAACCACAATTGAAAATATTAAAAAATAAATAAAACCAATACGACAAAAATATAAATAAGAAACAATAGAGTAGAACAACTATATAGCACTCACACTGTGTTAGGTATTATAAATAATCTAAAGATGATTTAAAGTATATAGGAGGGGCCAGGTATGATGACTTATGCCTGTAATCCTAGCACTTTGGGAGGGCGGGGCAGGCAGAGCACTTGAGGTTCAAGACTAGACCAGCCTGGCAAATGTGGTGAAACCTTGTGTCTACTAAAAATATAAAAATTAGCCAGGTGTGGTGGTAGGTGCCTATAGTCCCAGCTACTTGGGAGGCTGAGGCAGGAGAATCGTTTGAACCTGGGAGGCAGAGGATGCAGTGAGCTGAGATTGTGATAATGTACTCCAGCCTAGGTGACAGAATGAGACTCATCTCAAAAAACAAACAAAAAAAAAGGTATACAGGAAGACGTGTGTCAGTTACATGCAAATACTATACGATTTTATATGAGGGACTTGAGCATCCAAGGATTTTGGAGTCTGTGGTGGTGGTGGGGGAGGGGTTCTGGAACCAGTCCCCCATGGATACTGAAGAAAGACTGTATTAAGTCTTCCAATCCATGAACAACATGTCTTTTCATTTATGTAAGGCTTGAATTTACTAAAATGGGGTTTTGTAATTTTCCGTGTCCTTGTCTTGAACTTCTTTTATTAATAGAAGTGGTAAGAGAGACAGTGTTGTCTTGTTACTGATCTTAGGGGGGAAGCATCCATTCTTTCCCTGCTAAGTAAGATGTTAGCTGTGGGTTTTCATAGATTCAGGTTTTTCATATATGCCCTTTATAAACAGGTGGAGGAAGTTCTTTTCTGTGAAGGATTAGCCTTACCCAAAGAGAGATCTGCACTTTGCCCTCAGCTTCTGAGAGGTAATCTTCATGCCTGATAGGATTGTCTTTGTTTGTCTGGGGGCCTTAAGTGACAATGGGACAATATGACTTAGGGTAGGAACTGGCCATAGAAGAAAGACCAACAGTGTGATTCAGGGTAGGCGTTTGGGTTACACAGTATCAGTAGACCTTGGGGGAGACTGAAGACTAAGATCAACCACATGGGCAATCAATCATGCTTACATAATGGAGTTCCAATAAAAACTCTGAACACTGAGGCTTGGGTGAGCTTCCCAGGTTGACTAACTCCATGCACATTGCCACACATTGATGCCAGTGAAGTAATATGCTCAACATTTGGTACTTCCTTGGACTCTGCCCTACACCTTACTTTCTGTGGTTGACCTTAATCTAAATTCTTTCCCTGTAATAAACCATAATTGTGAGTATAATAGTTTTCAGTGAGTTCTCAGAGTCCTTCACTAGACTTATCAAACCTAAGGGCAATTTTGAGCACCTCCTGAACTTGCAGTTTGTGTCAGAAATGGGGGTGGTCTTGTGTGGACTACTGTGGTCTAACTTGGTAGTTGTTTCAACTCTTTGCACCTTACGTTGCTAGTTTGTTGAGTACTTTTATCATGAGAGGGTACTAGATTTTGTCAAATGCTTTTTCTGTGTCTCTTGAGATGATCACATAATTTTCCCCTTCATTATATTAATATGGTAGATTACATTAGTTGATTTTCATATGTTGAGCCCACTTGGTCATGGTGTATAATCCTTTTTATATGCTGCTGGATTCAATTTGCTAGTACTTCGTTGAGGGCTGTTGCATCTATTTTCATAAGGAATACCAGTCTGTAGTTTTCTTTTCCTGTGATGTTTGGTATTATGGTTATACTTGCCTCATAAAATAAGTTGGAAAGTATTCCCTCTTCTTCTATTTCTTGGAAGAATTTGTGAAGGATTCATGTTGATTCTTCTTTAAATATTTCACATAATTTACCAGTGAAGCCATCTGGGCCTGGGCTTTTCTTCGTGGGAAGTTTTTTTTGATTACTAATTCAACTTCCTTTTTTATATTTCTATTCTGATTCTTCTTGAATTAGTTTCAGTAGTTTGTGTCTTTCTAAGAATTTGTTCACTTCATGTAGGTTATCTAATTTCTTTGCATATAATCATTCACAGTATCTCCCTATAGTCCTTTTTATTTCTTTAAGGTCAATAGTAATGTCCCTTCTTTCATTACAGATTTTAATACTTTGAGTCTTTCCTTTTCTTCTTTATTAGCTAAAGGTTTGTCAATTGTGTTGCATTTTCCAAAGAACCAAATTTTGGATTTGTTGATTTTCTCTATTGCTTTCTATGTAACAACTGACTTTTGCAAACACAAATGAGAATGTACATTCTGAAAATAACATTCAATTTACAGTAATTTTAAAGTTGGTCAAGACAGTTTATCAATCAATGGCTTTTTCAAAAAAATTTTACCAAAAAATATATCATGACTGTCAAAAGGGTCATGTCACTACAGTGATTTGGGGTGAGTTTCAGACTGATTCCACCTTCTTTCTCAACACCTGAAGCCCATGAGAAACCTAGACAAGGCCTGTGTTCTGTGACATACCTTATCTGTGCATGACAAATTGAGGCTTCTGACTAGAGTATTACCTTAATGGTTGAATATTTGAGGCTGTTGTTAATTTTTTTTTTTTTTTAAGAGATGGGTATCATTATGTTGCCCAGGCTGGCCTCAAACTCATGGGTTCAAGTGATCCTCCTGCCTCAGCCTCCTGAGTAGCTAGGACTATAGCCGTGCAACACCATGCCTGGCAAGGCTGTTTTTAAAGAAGACTAATGGGTGCCCCCAGATCCTGGGTATAAAATTTTAGCCCTGTTTGCTTAGGAATAGCCTTTGAGTGTTCTAGCTCCAGTCTCTTAAGAGAGCATGCAAAGGACAATATAAACATTATTTTAAACAATTGTAGAAATATGGCTAAATCGGCAAAGTAAAGGAAATTAGACATTTTGTTTTAAGAAAGTATAAATATACTCACCATTCATTAACCAAGGCATATCAAAGATCACTATTTTTGCTGAAAGATGAAAAAAAATTCATTGAATGTGAATCAGTACCTCTATAATAATATCACTCATACCAGCCTAGAAAAAACTGGTCATCTAAATTTAAGTAAAAACTGAGCTTGTTGTCTGAGCTCTAATTCAGTGAAGTGTATAGTATCATGAATAGTATTCCATGTGGTGCTGGAACTGAACTAGCATGTCACAATGGTGAGGTGCCAGCCCAGGAGGAAGACTTGTGGGAAATCAATAGTGCACTGTCACTGTCCTCTGGTAAACAGCCTATTCTTTTGTCACTCACTGCTTTTGTTGTTTGCAGGGAGGTACAAAAGAAAACAGTTAAGTGGATAAATGGAGTTTTTGGATGTGGCATGTCAAAGTAGTGCTGAAGCCACTGAACTTTAAAATCATTTCCAGGTCTAATTTATGGTTTCAATTACAATTTTCTAGAGATTCTATTGTTAAACCAGTCTCACAGTTGCCCCCTCCCCTTTTAATACATCACTACGTTTTCAGAAACAAAAATTATTTCTACTTTATATCATGAGCTCCAGGAAGCTAATAATTCCAAAGTATGCATAAGTATTATTTACACACTGAGTTGAAGATACTAAACAGCCCTATTAACAACTGAGACAACTGTGAGAAAGAACCAGAAACTGCAAAGAAGATTTTTGAGATTCAATTCATTCCTCTATTCCAGAGGAATCAAAATGTAATTTCACTCTTCTCTGAGCAGAGAACCTCTTAGAGTTGTTGCATTAATGTAGGACAAGTAAAGTACATATAAGGAAAAAGGCATCTGTAAAGAGGCACCCTGGTGCTTAATACCTCAGTCTTCGTCTGGGATATGCTTAAAATAATGTGGACTCAAGATTTTAAGATATAATAGTTATTCTTCATGACAGATTTTGAAGCATAATCAATTAAGATTCCACGAAATTCAATGTCTGCAAAACTATATTATGTAGGTAGAATATATATATATGTGTGTGTGTATATATATATATATAAAATCTCTAGTTAAGATGAATAGTATTACAACTCATCTTTATATAGATCTATTAACTTTTTAATAGTTCTCTCAAAAGAATCTCAGATGTATTTTACAAAGTAATAATAATATTTATACTACTGATAAGTGGCTCTTCACAAACTCCTTTAGATATTTCAATGATCAAGTGGATATTTTTTCATTTTGTCCATAAGAGCAACAAACTAAAACTATGGGGTAGTGATTCCCTACTGACCAATGACTGGCACTGCTCTGGAGGCCTTAAGGAATCAGGGTACATGCCAGATACAGGAAAAATCCATAAGGAACAGAAGATAGTACAGGTTCCCCAAACTGGACACTATTGATCATTCTTTTTACCTAAAAATATTCATGAATACTCTCTCTGAAAAGATGAGAGTATACAGCTAGGGGTGGCACTGACTCTTGATATCCATTATGCTTTTTGTCTATTCCTCACTTCACATTAACAATAAAATTAACATGCCAAATTAAGATAATTTAGGGATTTTATGCTAAAGTCACCTGAGTCACGAGTCCCAAAAGACCCAATTTGCTGTTTTCTAGGAGTACGCTCAGGCAGATCTGTAAATTCCCATTTTCTGACATCCCTGTTGCCTCTCTGCTGTCTTTTCACTTTTAAACCATTGGGGTTAAATATACTTGACTGTTTATGTGAGTTGGCATCTCGGCTTCCCTAGGGTGAACCCATCATACAAATTCAACAAGTAAAAAATGGACTATATAAGGTTTAGGAGTTCTTCATTCAGGTAATTAATGGAATAGTCACAATAAAAAACAAACAAACTCCAAATGCCAGATTCAAATGTAGTACCTTCTAGTCAAGTATTTTCTTAATGACAATTTTTAAGTAGCAGTTGGTAACAGTGTACTTTATATATCAATATTGCTTATTATACAGTGTACTCTATCAATACTGCTTATCTGTTCTTGTATGCAAGAAGTTTCATATAATAAATACTATTTGAAATGAATTTCTAAATTGAAATATTAGTAAAAATGAGATAATTTTGAAATAAATGTATGCTTTTATGTACCTATGTGTGTGAGTGGGTGTGTGTGTTATAGGATGCCATATATATAGTTTAGAACTTAAACTCTTAAAATTAACTGTGAAGGACAATGAATACTTATGAAAAACTTTCCTCTGTATGTGTTACAATAATGTCTATGAACACATTTAAAATTCTTCATCAGAAAACAAAGTTTCAGGTATGAAAGTCTATAATAACATAAGGCTCCACAATTCTCAGACATTGTCTACAGTTTCAATATGTTATATTTTTTATAAAGGAGTAAGTTACTTACAGAGGTATTTAGGGTAATAAACCTTAAAGCAGTTGATGATAAAGCGTACAAAGTCCATGTCCTAAAATAAAGATTAAATCTTTAAGACTGTCCACATTAGAGAACTTAAAATTGCACATTTCTAAAGGTGATAAATTATTAAATACAAGTGAGACAATTATTAAATTCTTTAAAAAGTAAGCTCATATGTAAATATCTATATTCTCAAGGATTAAGGTTTTAGGTCATTAAGCTATTTATAATAATCAGCCCTAAAACTGACTTGAAGAAACCAGATGCTTAGTGATGTTTTAAAATTATTCACATTACCTCAAACTAGTTACACACTTCAGGCTACTAAGGCAACAGGGCATAAAATGGATCTAAAAGCAATCTCCATAGAGAAATTCTAAAAATCTGTTGAATAACTAAAGAATTATTGAAACAAGTATACAGTTTATAATCAGACTACTTGGGATAATAATACACATGTATGTAAATTCTCATATATTTGCTTTTTAATCCTAATTTTTACACCACATAATAGTGTCAATAAAATATATTTTATCAACCTTTTTTAAACACAATACTTAATCTAATCACATTGGCCTGCTGTATCTACTCCATTTCTGGCTTTTTAAATTTTATTTAGAGACCTAGAATTAGTTTTTTAGTTTATATTCCAGTGTTGTTCACTGATTCTGATTTCTGGGAGACTACAAACATAGCTATCTGGTTGGTTCTACTGCTTTGAGCACAGCAACAGGAAATTAGGTCATTAAGGTTATTTCCATGAGTCATTTCACTCCATGGCCACATACTGATTCACTAATTCTGATTGGCCATCTTATAAAGACTGTGGGATGAAAGATACAACCAAGCAAACTGAAATCCATCACAATTACTGGAAAGGTGGGTTTTCCTAGAGATAAGTGTCTATAAATTCATCCCTGGAATGTTAGTTGCAGCATCTTTAATTGCAGTAAACTAAAAGTAAGCATCCTTAACTATCTTAAGTATTTGTTATGGGTATATATATAATAATACCTTTGTGTGTGTGTGTGTGTGTGTGTGTGTGTGTGTGTGTGTGTATGTATATAATATATATATATAAAATACCTTTGTGTGTATATATATATATAATAATACCTTTGTAACTAATCATTATAGCCACTGTGCATGGAGTTTTCATAATTGGCAGTTAAGTAACAGTCAAAGAAAATAGCTGAAAAGAACCAGTTATATAAAAATGTGGTTACCTAGTCTAGAATTTATGGCCCCCAGAGACTTTGTCTAAATAGTCTTGGAATAACATTCTTGTTTCTATCATTTATTTAATTGAATATCCTTCTTCGTAAAATCGTGAGTTACTGCTAATTCAAGTGGATATGATAAGATGTCACTGGTGTATTCTATTAATGGGGACTACAAGAAATAGCTCCATCAACCCTATTGCTCAGCATTCTATAAGGATGTTTTCGAGGAGGCTGTTATTATCTTGTAAAACGTCCTTTTGAGGACCCATGAAAGACTTTCTAGTTCAAGTATTAGGAATGGATATACTTCTAAGACACTGGTTGTGAAGGATGGCCGCTGAATAATTTTAAATGATTGCATTTCTTTCAGGCAGGCAGCTGAAAGCTTAGAGCCAAACTGGTGTCCCAACTCTAACAAATGATTTTCTTATTTTTTGCCTTGAAATTTATAAGCTCACCTAAATTCTTTGTGACATGTTTATAAGCTCACTTAAATTCTTTGTGACTCATGAAAGGGTCATTTATGAAAATAAATTATTCAGTAAGATTCAAGTATTTTAAAACAATAATGACTTAAATACTTAGTAGTGCAAATACACCTTATTTACAAATTAAAGATGGTGAGATATAAGTAGCTTGAAAAAATAAAACAGTTCAAGTCAATTCTCTGTCCTTATACTTGGCAACAAAAATATTAACATTTATTCTTCATGATTCTGGGTTAATAATTAGGAAACTATCATATCCAAAGGACAAAAGAATCAGGATTTATTTTTATGGAATATTTATTTATCTAGGCAAATTGATTTTGATTTTGGATATAAAATAATTTACTTTCTCTAATTTAAAACCACTGACATGGAAACTAGGTTGGAAAACTCCAGGGCATCGGATCCTTGAAAAATAAAAAGAGAAATAGAAACATGAAAAAAATTTGTGGTCCTACCACTGCAAGAAAGCTCTTGTTAGCAGTTCTCTCTAGCTGGTTTTGTGTTATGTCTACAGTTTCCTTTGTTGGGCTATGTATCACCATGGTATAGAATACATACATATTATAGTATGTATAATCATACAGCTTTTTTCATCTCAGAAAAAAGTGTTCTCTCCAATATTACTATAAATTCCTTAAAAACACCATTTTACATAGCTATATGTATACTCCATCAACTAACTAGATATACCATAATTTGCCATTTCATCATGTTGAACATTTATATTTTTTTCTAATTTTTCATTACTTTAAATGACACTGGGAAAATATTTTGATGTATGATGCTTTTTCTGTACTCAGGATTATTTCTTTAGAATAGATTTCCAGAAGTTGGTTACCAGGCAAAGAATATAAATACAAACACTTTAAGGTTCTTAACATAATTTGCCAAATGGAATTCCAAAAAGATTTCAACACTGCCCTGAGCACGTTTGTGAATACGACATTACTGCTATCAGAATTAGCCACAGATTAAATATAAGAGACAGTAGTTAGAATAAATGTGCCAAGTGATCTCAATTGCTGCTGAAGGGTTTGTAGGTATCACTAAGGTCACAAGGACCCAAATTAAAGACAGGTAGGTTTTACTTATTTTTCAAGCTTGGCAAAATCACCTGAAGAAAACTGGTTTCCAAAGCTAACCAAATCAAACAGATAGAAAACAAATCCAAACAAGCAAACAAAAACACTCAATAAAATCACAAAGTGTTATATGTGCAAAACTCATGTGAACATCTTGCAACTGTAAAACATGGTATGAATATAACAAATTCGAGATGGTATATTACCTTACTTGATATTTCCTGAATATATTACTATGTGGCACACACCGGGGCAGGTGCTATAGGATATTAGCTTTGATATCAAAGTTCACAGTTATCACATCGATTCATACCTTGCCAGCCTCGACATGCTACCTCTCCATCCTGTGTCTCAGACAAGGAACATTTCTAGGAAATCGACAGTTTCAACGCCAAATACAGAAACAAATTTAATTCTCTGCAAACCCTATTCCATGTTTGACTACACTCACACTGCAAGGTGAAAAAATAAATCCCTAATATAAGTTAGTTACCTCAATTTTACAGCAATATGTGGTTGGCAGCAAGGACAGGAGAAAGGGAGGAAGCCATGATAAACACTGATTTGGAATGAATGAAAAAATGCTTACAATGCTATTTATTCCAGTTTCTGACAGGTCAAACATCACTGTTACAGGTTTCCCATTTTCCCTCTTAGCATAACGTTCCAACCAGAATGCTATGAGCTTCTTTTTGTCCAATATGGTTTTCTGGTCTTTTACATGATACTTCACCCTGATCCAGACTTTAAGCAGAAGATAAAAATAAGAACAAGACTTATGGCATTATAATATTATTATACATATATATTGCCTTTCCCTTGACATTTTTCATTTACAATTCATTTTATTTCTTAGATCAAAAACATCTCTTTCTTATTTTCAATGAGAAACTGTTGCACTTGGGTGCCTTAAATTGAAGAGTAGCAGAGAGATAGACTGTTTCCCTTAGGAAATAAACAAATTTCACTTGTAAGAGGGAAAAGAAAATACAGGTGAACAAACACTATTTGATAATAATCTAAATGTGCTCTGCATTGTGCTTAACAAAAAAGAAAGTCATTGCTTTTGTCGAGCACTGGAAAAAATGTTCCGTCCAGAGGAAAGATACTGACACAGGGCGATGGAGGCATGAGCCAGTGCCGTGCGTGTGTGTGGAGCACGGTAAACTGTTCAGGTGGTGGTAGCTAAGATGAAATGTGATGAGTGGTGAGAGGAGAAGCTAAATAAGAAAGAACTGGACTTGAAGGACTGTGAATGAAACTCTAGGGCACTTTCATTTTCCTATTTTAGAACACCTTTCGGGCAATAGCACAGAGGGCAGACTGGAGGAGGCAGAGAAGGAAACCCACCAGGTTATGACCTGGGAAGGGACTGGGGCAAAGGTGTAGTAGTTAGAAACTGAATTGAGGAAGTAGCTGGTGAGGATGGATAAAAGGCCAAATTGAAGCTATATTAGAGGAAGAGCCAATGAGTGGGCCTGAGGTGGGCAATACAGAAAGTGAGCAAGTGGACAGGCATGGATGTTCAGTAGTGTGTTGTGCTAAAGGCTGCTGACAGTCAGGAGGGGGCAGTCAGTGGGTAGCTAGGTATGTGCATGTGGCCTGGGGATGGTGTGGGGTCAATACTGTGCCGGGGGAGGTAGCTAAAGCTGCCAAGATGCTCGTGATTGATCACCCAAGGAGACTGTATCAGCTGTAAAGTAAAAGAAGCAAGAAAGGAATAAAGCCTGGGAAACACCTTTAAGGGACAGGTGGAAGAAGAAAAATGAGAAAAAAAAGGTTGAAAAGGAGGAGGTGGCAGTAAGAGGAAAATGCAAAAAGAGTATTGCTCAGAGACGGACCACATGCTATGGAGGAGTGAAGATGAGTGCAGGACATCTGTTCAGTATGGGGCTTGAACATGCCTGCCAAGTTGCATCCCTGGTATAAAACCAGGCTGGATTTGGGGCAAGTGGGAGAGAGGTATAACAGGGGAGTCATTGGAACAAAAGAGATGATTGTTACTGTTCCTTTCATTATAATACACATTTCAGAAAAAGCTAGAGTGAGATTATGGGAGACTCGAAAAGGAAAAGGCCTATTTAGCAACCTTTAGCGACTGTCAAAAAAATTCTCCATAAAAATACTAAGACGAGTTTTAATATCACAGTCAGATTAGAAAGAAGATAATGACTCTGAATTAAATAACTTTGTTTATGCTGTAGGATGCAGCATTTATTTTTTGCCTTTATTGCCTACTTTATTATAATGCAAACAGTATGCACAGCTACTAAGTATCTAACACTCTGTAAAAATGGTCCTGCCAATCCCTCATTGCAGAAGACCTGAGGAGTGCTACAGATGGAGAAAGTTCTGCCAATTCTTAATTCAGTTGACATAGATATCTCAATCTCAAAATCTTGAAAAGCCAGAACATAAATTAAATATACTTACACAATTTGTTACCTTCTTTGTCATAACCATGGAGATAAATAACACCAATTTCCAATAACCATCTGGGAATGGAGGATTCATTAAGGTCTAAAAAGTGGTAAGCTTTGATCAGTAGTTGTAATTTAGGGGTTTAAAAATAAAACTCATAATGTAAAGATAATGTTATGTAGTAGTTCTGAGCTTTAAAAATGATATAATGTACCCAAACATTCAAAAAAAAATCTCTGGCAATATAAAGTGGTGCTTCCTACCAAGCAAACAAACTAAATAATGACACAGGGGACCAAAATGGACAAACTCCATTTCCCTTGACAGGTCATTATTTATGTGGATACATTTCCACATTTTGATTGTTTCACATAATGACTTGCAAACAAATATCACTGTCAGAGTTTCAAGAGAACATTCTAGTAAATATCCACATTGCAGCCTCAGAATTAGTAGAAAAAAATCACTTTGGTTTCTTTAGTAAAATGGTATTTTTCTATTAGGTTCATGCAAAAGTAACTGTGGTATTTGCAGTTAAACATAATGGCAAATGCTGCAATTACTTTTGCACCAATCTAATATTAAGTTTGTTATCTAGTAGACTTTAATGCATTTAAAAACCTTTAGGAAAGTGGAAAATACTTCAAGAAAAATGGCCAGGCATGGTGACTCATGTAATCCCAGCACTTTGGGAGGCCAACACGGGAGTATCATTTGAGGCCAGGAGTTCGAGACCAGCCTGGGCAACACAGTGAGACAACCTCTCTACAAAGATAAAAATATAAAAATTAGGCTGGGTGTGGTGGCTCACGCCTGTAACCCCAGAACTTTGGGAGGCTGAGGAGGGCAGATCACGAGGTCAGGAGATCGAGACCATCCTGGCTAACACAGTGAAACCCTGTCTCTGCTAAAAATATAAAAAATTAGCCAGGCTTGGTGGTGGGCGCCTGTAGTCCCAGCTACTTGGGAGGTTGAGGCAGGAGAATGGCGTGCACTCAGGAGGCTGAGCTTGTAGTGAGCCGAGATCACGCCATGCACTCCAGCCTGGGTGACAGAGCCAGATTCCATCTCAAAAAAAAAAAAAAAAAAATCAATCAATAAATAAATATTAGCCAGGCATGGGAGCACATGCCTGTCGTCCCAGCTACTCAGGAGGCTGAGGTGGGAGGCTCACCTGAGCCCAGGCATTGAAGGCTGCAGTGAGCTATGATCACAACACTGCATTCCAGCCTGGGTGACAGAGCAAGACCCTGCCTCAAAATAAAATAAAGAAAGAAAGAAAAGAGAAGATAAGAAAAGAAAACAAAAAATGTGAGAACTTGAACTTCAGCAGGAGGAACAAACAGAGTGCCTCTCCAGTTTTTGGGGAGGCTAAGGACCAACATAGCAAGGCAGCAAATGCCAATGTTTTTGTTTCATTCACCAGCAGTACCTTAAGACCTTTCAAAGATTTATCTTTCCCCATCCCCTTTTACCATATCTCTGCTATTTTTCACCAGGAAATAGCAATTCTGTGTAAGAAAACAAACATTGTTGAGTTTAAATATTTATTCAGTACTTAAATCGTTTAAAAATATCAGATTTATATTTCTTTCTTTGGTTAATAAATGCTTCACTGTTGAAATTACCTACATTTGTTAAATTTCCAATCACATTATTTTTTACTAATCCCCCTTTCAGGGATTCCTTCTGCAAGCATGAAGAGTGAGGAGAGTATCTGCTCTGGATTTATTGTTGACTATTTTGTGTTAAGTCTTCAGATTGAAGTCACTTCAGAGGTTATAATCCTCAAGGACAGAAAATTCTGCTTTATGCCTAACTGAAAACAGAAGTTATGCCAGTTTCTTCTTGTTCAATTTTTTGGTGGAGAGAACTAACAGGTCTTCATATACTTGAAGACCATTATAAAACTCCAAGACTTGAAACTCTCATTTTTGGAAAAAAATTCTATCTAGTAGCAGACTTAGAAATTAAGAAGTTAAGGCTGCATGTACCCCAAAATATGTACATCTACTATGTACCCACAAAAATAAAAACAATATACAGAGAAGACTGTGATAGGCTTCCTTGGGGATAAGCTTGCATTTTTGGGGTGACTCTCATTCATTTAACAATTCTATATGGCGTACCTATTAACCTATTAGCACAAGGAACTGTGGGGACAGAGAAAGGCATAGGCAACAACTGAGAAAAATGGACAGTATCTCCTTATTTCTAGGCCTAGTAGCAAAGATACTGTCTTGCTATTGCTTAATGGTACTGAATTAAACACAGATTAGGAAACTCTGCTGTGAATGAAGAATCTGAGTGTGATTCTGCTCTCTGGTGATCTGATTTCCTTATGAATGATCCCACTTAAAAGACTTATAAGCTGTTCCTTTGAAAATATTACTGGGTCTTTATAAATAATTATATTCTGGTGTTTATGATGACTGCTAGGAATATGTGCAAATACATGATTAGATAAATGTAAAACAATACCATTTATACAGTATATATTACAGTCAAGGTTAAATTGAACAGCTTACCATTGACAGAAATTTCTTTCCTCCACTGAAAACTCTCATCGAGCATCTTCAGTGTTTCATCTACAATATTATGTCTCCAAGATAAGTAACTTTCAACCCAGTTATCATCTTGTTGTAGCCTTTCAACATCACGTGCATCATATTTATCTGACTTATCTAGGGAAAAAACAGTAATAAACATCCAAGTCAGATTAATTCTGCAGTGAAAAATAACCACTAATGGCAAAGGAGAAGAAAGACTTCCAAGACAAAGTTAAGCTATTTGAGGATAGACTCAGGGATGTAGTTCAGATAAAAGCGCCATTTAAAAGATTGATGGTGCTATTGTTTGGATATGGTTTGCTTGGTTCCCCCAAGTCTCTTGTTGAAATCTGATGCCCAGTGTTGGAGGTGGGGTCTGGTGGGAGGTGTTTGGGTCATGGGGAGGACTCCTCAAGAGTAGTTTGGTATCATTCTCATGACAACGACTGAATTCTTGCTCTTAGTTCCCGCACGAACTGATTGTTGAAAAGAGCCTGGCACCTCCTCCTTTCTCTCTTGCCTTTTCTCTCTCACCATGTGATGCCTGCTTTCCTTCATCTTACGTCATGAGTGGAATCTTCCTGAGGTCCTGATCAGAAGCAGATATTGACACCATACTTCTTGTATAGCCTGCAGAACCATGGGCCAAATAAACCTCTTTTCTTTATAAATCACTCAGCCTCAGGTATTCCTTTATAGCAACACAAATGGACTAAGACTGATGGAATTCCCAAGTGTGAGGAGAATGCGTTATCTAAAGACTGCAGGTTTAAGTAAGCCACTACAGATGTTAAAAATTACACCAGAGTAAAGTATTTGGTATAGCCCTCTCTAAAACTATACACCAACATCTGGGAAGATTAATTATGTTATCTGAACTTGAAATTCTTAAGTCAATGAAAAATGAAGAAATTTCATATGTAAAGAAATAACTAAGTTGTGCTTTAAAAAGACATTTGTTTGGCAAGTGTCATTAAAAAAAAATTAAGTAGGCCAGGTGTGGTGGCTCATGCCTGTAATCCCAGCACTTTGGGAGGCTGAGGCAGGCGGATCACCTGAGGTCAGGAATTTGAGACCAGCCTGGGCAACATGGAGAAACCCCGTCTCTACTAAAAATACAAAAATTAGCTGGGCGTGGTGGCGCACCCTGTAGTCTCAGCTACCAGGGTGGCTGAGGCAAGAGAATCGCTTGAACCCGGGAGGTGGAGGTTGCAGTGAGCTGAGATTGTGCCACTGCACTCCAGCCTGGTGACAGAGTGAGACTCTGTCTAAAAAAAAAAATAAATAAATAAATTAAATATAAAAATAAAGACAAAAAAAGAAAAAACAACAACAATAAAAAACAGTAAAAAAAAAATTAACTAAGTACCGATGGAAAACTGATCATGTATGCCATATTACGGTATTTACTATTTTCAGACTCTGGCCAACACATTTTCAATAATTTCTTGGAATAATTATTTCTAATAACAATAATTTCTCATCAGTTGCTCACACACACACTATATTCCCACTAACTTGTATAGCAGACATTCCTCCTTCCTTGCCCTGCTTTATTATTCTGTAACTGAACCTTCCTTGTCTCTGCACATCCAAATGCTACCATTCTGCAAGTCTCCTTTCAAATGCTCCCTATTCCATAAAATTTTCCCTGAGTCCAGAAGTATTAGGTTGGTGCAAAAGCAATTACTTTTATGGAACTTGAACTAAGCTTTTCTTAAGGTGCTTACCACTTTTACCTTGAAATACAGTTACTAGCACGGAAGACATATTTCCCAAATAGACAGTAGAGACAGATAGTCTATACATCTGAGCATCCTCCAAAGCAGATTACAGTAGTGCCAATGAAAAGGCCTTCCATAAACATCTGTTGATGGAATCTATTCCTTCTCATTTTTTTCTCAGTTGTCATACCCTCCTAAGGTTCATACAAAAAACAAAAGAAAACAAAACAAAGCAAAACAACTTCAGGAAATTCCCTGGCTCCTTCATTTCCTTTTCTTCTGCATCTAGTTAGTTGCCAGGTTTTATGGATCCTATCTCTTCTTGATTTGCACTGCCTTATTTCAGGTCCTCAGAGATAATAGCTGAAAGGCCAGGAAAATATAGACTGCATTCAGAGAATTGTCTTCTTTGAGTCTCAATTTCCTTATCTTTAAGCTGTTTTATATACTCACAATGCTGTGTGAGGATCGGATGAAAAAGTATATATTTAAAGCACTAATTTTATATATTTAAAGCACTAAATTTAGTGGAAATTTAAAGCACTATAAAATATAAGAAGAGGCCATAAATCATGCATTTGTAAGAGTGCTGCTTTGGATATGGCTTTTAATAGCTGGGTTGTATTTTTCTAATCTATAAAATGAGTGGTTCTGTGGTAGGTAATCTTAGAGATTGTTGTTTAGCTCTGCTATTTGAAAATTCATCAGTATTCAAAACACATTTTTTACAATTTTTTTCAAGTAAAAAGGGTGGCCTATGAAACAGGTGACTAATTCAGCTGGCAACTCAAACATACTTAGCATGCAGAAGTGTTTTATGCACACTTCCCGATTTTGTCACACAGAACATTGAAAGGACATGTACTCAAGGGTCAAAACTTAATACAATTTACTGTTTCATCAGGGACTTTCTAAAATAAAATTGTCTTTTTTTTTTTAAACTAAGAGTGCTGACAATGAGGACTACAATGACTACCTGCCTTGATTTGGGCGAAGCAGCCAGTACTGATTACACATCATTGCTTCTGTGTAATCAGTGCAAATGTAAAGAAAGTGAAAAAGGCAAATGATATCTTAGCATTATTATGAAAATAGTTTTGACCTCATAGCTTTCTGAAAGTCTTGGGCATCTCCTAGGATCCCCAGATATATTCTAAAAACCAATTACTTAGAACAATATATGGCAAGTGGTAAAAACTCAGTAAATATTAGCCATATTAAGAAGAATAAAACACTATTGTTGTTGTTGTCATTTTTACCACCACTGCTAGTACCATCACTAGGGAATACCATAAACAAATGAATGTCCATTACTAAGAAATTTAAAGCCCACGGCTCTTTGATAGCTTTCAGCAATGTTGATCTTTGAAATTAGAAAGCCCCATTTATATTAAAATGATTTTTATTAATGTTCTTACATATAACATGCTAGTTGTTGACCATTTACCCCTAGACAAATAGAAATGAAATCAGAGTAGGGGAAAGAAAAGAGAAGACAAAGATTTGACAGCTAGGCACATGGGGGTTGGGGGAGAGAGGCAGGAGAAAAGTAGAGGCAGAAGACGACAGAGGACAATGGGACAGAGGAGAGGGTTGAGGGGGAAGAGAGGGGGAGAGACAGATAGAATGAGACACAGAGGAAAGAAAGGTGAGGGAGGTAAAGATAAAAGAGGCAGAGAAAGAAACAGAATAAACTGAGCATTGAAGGTAAGAAAAACATAGCCTGGAAGCACAAGGCCAAGGGTGATAAATAATTGTGCTTTTATCAACACAATTTGTTGCTTTCACACACAGCCCTCAGACAACTGAGCCCTCAAGCGATTGGAAATTTCAGAAAACCAGTCCTTGGGTAAGTTCAGATGTGCTATGGTTTGAAGCAAGCCTCTCCTAAATTCAGGTGTTGCCAATGTGACAGGATTAAGAGTAGGGCCTTTAAGAGGTGATTAGGCCATAAGGGTTCCTCCCTCATGAATGGCATTATGGCCCTTATAAAAGAGGCTTCATGCGGCAGTGTCCTCCTCTTGCCCTTCCACTTGCTGTCACAGGAGGACACAGCAAGAAGGCCCTTACTAGACACCAAGTACTGGCACCTTGATCGGAGACTTCCCAGCCTCCAAAACTGAGAAAATAAATTTCTGTTCTTCATAAATTACCCTGTTCTGTTCTTTATAAATCACTCAGCCTCAGGTATTCCTTTATAGCAAGACAAACGGACTAAGACTGATGAAATTTCAGGTATTTTGTTACAGCATCACAGAACGGACTAAGACAAGATGTTACAGAAAGATGCTAAAGATGTACACCCAAAAGATTATCTAAAGATATAAAAACACACATGCATGCACACAAACACACACACACACACACACACCCCTAGGACATTTTTTTGAAAAACTTTACCTATCAACAATTAAAATGTAGAGATGAGGGTAAGAAGGTGTATTATTCAGGGTTCTATAGAGGGACAGAACTAATAGGATAGATATATATATTTACTGTGTTAGTCTGTTTTCATAATAGCTGCTGATAAAGACATACCTGAGACTGGAAAGAAAAAGAGGTTTAATGGACTTACAGTTCCACATGGCTAGGGAGGCCTCACAACCATGGCAGAAGGCAAGGAGGAGCAAGTCATGTCTTACATGGATGGTGGCAAGCAAAGAGAGAGGTTGTGCAGGGAAACTCCCATTTTTAAAACGACCAGATCTCGTGAGACTCATTCACTATCATGAGAACAGCGCAGGAAAGACCTGCCCCCATAATTCAATCACCTCCCACCAGGTTTCTCCCACAACACATGGGAATTGTGGGAGTTATAATTCAAGATGAGATTTGGGTGGGGAGAGAGCCAAACCATATCAGAAGGGTTCAGTTTTATAAAAAGGTGTGTGTGTGTGTGTGTGTGTGTGTGTGTGTGTGTGTGTGTGCGTGTGTGTGTATATATTCTCCCAATACTTGTCCTCATACACAAATGATAGCTTGTCTCATAATACCAGTGAAAACCACATCAAAAACAACAGTAATTCCAAGTGGTGGATTTTTAAGCCTCATCTCTGTATTTCTTTAAAATAGCTAATTTCAGCCAATCCTTCATGAAGAAACCTTCTTAATGAACTATCAGCACCCTATGGTTCATTGGCCCTTTCTACTATTTATTTGTTCTAATATGAATTTTGCTCTGTAAATTGTTCTTCTATTTATACAAGTGTATTACCACCAAACAAATTGTAAAGTCCATTATTTGGGAGAGAAAGAACTAAAGATACATGACAATGGTGATATGTCTCTAGGAACACACAGTATTAAATATTCCAAGGTAAAGATGACCTGTCTCAGCTTTTCATGTCTCTCCATACACATGCATATGTGTGTTCTCTCTCACTCACTGTTTCTCTCTCACACACAATTTTTTAAATAAAAAAATAAAATTTTTTAAAAATTGTAAGATAAAGAAACTATAGCTCTTACTTGTAAAATAGCAAACTTTATTATTAACTTTTCTTTTTTTCTCTTGCATTTGTTGGCCAGTGATGTTACCAACAGGTCTGAAACTGTGTTTTAAGGCTAACAATGTGAGAAAATTTCTGGCCACATTCAGGATATAGAGTAGAATGATGGACTTGGAAGACCCATGCCACTATGTATAGTGAAGCTAAGCAAGTCACTCTAGGCTTTCTATTCTTCTCTGTAAAATGAAAATGAGGTCTGTCTACCTACAGTCTCAGAAAGATCAAGAACACTGAAAAACTTAAACACTATACAAATGACTTTCCATCAACATACGATAGAATGCTAACTATGAAAAGAAGACTAAATTTAAATTTACCTATTAGTTTACCAGTAAGGAAAATCTTGGAAGTACATTGTTGTTACAAATGTGCCTAAATTTCAGATAAAGGTTGAAAAAATATAAAGTATTCTAATAACGAAAACTAGAGAACAGTTAATATTCCAAAGCAGCAAACATATAACTCTAGATCATTATAGTAGTTTAAAACATCTTAGGATCTCTTATTTCTCCATGACTCTGAGCATAGATCCACTGAAAGTCCTTCTGGGGCATTAAGAGAGCATTCGTATTGGATGGACTATTTCTATTAGCTGGACTGCATAAATGTCAGTAATGGGTGTGATCAAGACAAAAGAACAAAATATTCCTTCAAGATTATTCTCTGCTAGTTGGCCACAACCTATTCTGAATCTCCACTTTCTTGTGAAACTGGTGAGACTGAGAGACAGGTAATCTTTTATAATGGGATTAAGCCATTGGTTTATAGCAGTGATTCTTCAACTTCAGCACATATCAGAATGATTAGGAAGGCTTATTAAAACTGAAATTACTGGGCCCCACCCCTAGACTGTCTAATTCTGGGTGGGATCTGACAATTGGTATTTGTAACCAGTTCCTACATACTGCTGATGCTGCTGGTCAGGGACCACACTTTGAGAACTGTTGTTCTACTGCAGGAGCTGGCAAACTTATTCTGTATAGGCCCAGATGGCAAATATCTAAGACTCTGAGGGCCATATTATATTCTTATTATATTCTCTGTTGCTGATTTCTCTCTCTCTCTCTCTCTCTCTCTCGTGTGTGTGCGTGCATGTGTGTGTGTGTGTGTGTATGTGTGTGTATGTAACAACCCTTTAAAAGGCTCGGCTCAAGGGTCATACAAAAACAAGACTTTGCTGATCTCTGGTCTACTCTAAAAAGGGGAGGTGCTTTCTGCTTCAGTTCTTATCCTTCAAGAGCTGGATTCCTTAGTACACTTGAACAAACAAAGCTAAACTTTCAAAACTGTTCTCCAGGTCCTCATCAGTCACCAGCCAGTTATCCAGGTTAATTAGATATAATGGACCTTGGTCTATTCCTGTATATTACAGACTCTGCCTCAAGGTCTTCGCATAAGCACACTATCTACAATCATTCCCTTGGCTCATTTTGGTCAAATGGGAGAATGTAAACCCAATTTCATCAAAACTAATAGGATAATAGTAAGAGTCAGTCATTTTGAGAGGAGCTCCTCAAATAGGGGATGGCATGAGAGGAGTCGGACTGATGCTGTCTCCTCTAATAAGCTCCATGAAGTCAGGGACTTTGAAAAGTCACACCCTGCTCCCTCCAACTCTGCCCAATACACAGTAAGTACATGCTAAATCTTTGTTACTGAATGATTAGCCATGTACAAGTCTATCCCCTAGTAGATCTTGAGTTCATTGAGGACCCAGAACTTCACTAATAAACTGTTTTATTTCCTTCCCTTTTGAAAAGTTAAAAAATTATAGAATAGAAAATAATGTTAACAAATATTTATGTAGCTGTAACCCAAAATTAACAAATATTAAGTTATTCGCTTCAGTTTTTTTTTTAATAAAAGGACTAGAATGTCATAGATAAAGCTGAAGTTACCCTTAATCTTCCCATAAAAGCCTTACATTTCTTTGCTAGATTAGGCAGTTTAGAGGATTTTGTGTTGTTATCATAAGCCTATGACAAGATTGGCAAACTTTATACCTCATATTTTCCTGCCACGTTCATAACTAAGTTATCCTATATAATGTAGAGTTATTGAAATAATAGCAGAAATCATTGTCTTTTTCCTGACTTTATAGGAATTATTCTAAAGTTCCCCAATTAAACATCACATTTGCTGTAGGTTTTTAGAAGATACACTTAACTTTAAGTACTCTGGAATTTCCAATGTGATGTCCTCTTTAACCCACGGGTTATTTAGCAGAAGAATTTACACCATTGCTGAGAAGTTGGTAATCCATGGATTATTTAGAGGTGTGTTATTCTAGTTTCCTATCATATGACATGTTTTTAAGTACCTATTATTGTGACTTCTGATGTAGTTGCTTAATAATGTATGGGCATGGTCTGTATGATGTAGCTTCTTTGGAATTTTCTGAGACCCCCTTTATGACTTAGTATGTGGTGAATGTTTGCAAAAGCTCTGAAAGTACAAATATATATTCAAAAAGTATATATTCTGTACTAGTTGGGCAGGAGAGTCTATATACTCATATACATACACACATACATATATATGTATAATCAAATTTGCTCATTGTAGTGTTAAAATCTTCTAAATCTTAAATATTTCTTGCCTGCTAGTTCTATTTCTGAAAGAGGGTTGTTAAAATCATTCAACATGTTTGTAGATTTCTTGAGTTCCCCTTATGATTCTGGGTGCTTTTTGCTTTGAGTATTTTAAGGTTATATGGTTAGGTAGTTTTTTATGTTGTTAGTTCCTAGGTGTTATACCCTTTTACGGTTCCTTTTATCACAAATAGTATCCCTTTTTATATGTATTAATGTCTTTCACCCTAAGTAACATTTTACCTAAAGTACTGCTGAAACAACATTACTTTTGGTTAATATTTGTTTTGTATATCTTTTTCCATCTATTTTCAACCTTTCTACATTAATTTATTTTAGGTTAGTCTCTTTTAGACTGCATGCAGTTAAGATCTTTAAAAATCTAATCTGATATCTAATATGCAGAAATCAGTTTATATTTATAGTAACTATTGATAAAGTTGGAATTCTTTCTGCTGTCTTCCTCTGTGTTTTCTGGTAACCAAGCTGCTTTTTTTCTCCTTTTCTGCTTCTTCCTGGAGAGGACTTTTCCTCCATTCCCCTTTTCATTCCTCCACTGGTGTGGAAGTCAAACATTTTATTTCTATCTTTCAATGATTACCCTTATTTTAAGTATTCACACTGAAAACAACAAAATCTGCAGTTAGTATCTCTATCCTCATTCTGAAAGTTCCTTGTAATACTTTACCTCCATTTCTTCTACTCTTATTATTATTTGTTTTTTCTTACTATCCACAGTTAGATTTTTTATTTACTAATTTGCCTACCCATTTCTTTGCTTTTCATTACTTCTTGCATCCCTCTGCTTCCTTTGGTGTACTATTTACTTATTAGTGAAGTAGACAAGTAGTTTTTTTTTTTCCAGCAATGGTCAATCTTTGCATGCCTAAAAAGTTTTACCTTCACTTTTGAATAAATGTTCTAAGTGAGCAGTTATTTCCCTCAGCACTTTCAGAAAATTATTTCACTGTTTCCTGGCAATACTGTTACTGATGAGAAATCAAGTATCAGTCTGATTTTTGTTTCTTTGTGGATGTGTCATTTCTCTTTGGGTTGTTAGATTTTCTCTGTCCTTGGTGTTTTTTGGTTTCACTAAAATAAGCATTGAGATTAATTTCTTTTTCCCTATGATGCTCAGATTTTCTTATGGTTCTTTAATCTGAGGATTTGATATCTTTTATAAATTCTGGGTAACTGTCAATGATTATTTCTTCTAATATCACTCTTTTTTTCCTTCTGGAAGTTTGATTAAATGTATATTGTGTTTCTCATGCCTTTTATTTTTCCTTACACATTTTTATCTGTTTTCTTCCTCCAATGATCTGGGTATAGAGTAAGTACTTGTAGAAAAACTTTAAAATAGTCTGTGAATGTCCTATGTCAGTTGTGAATATATAGCAGTATAATGGGTAAAGAAAAGCTTCTGCAAATCATGGCCCAGCTAGTAAGTACTAGTATCTAATATCAAAGAAAATTCTACACATATATGCCAAATCTTTATAGTCACTACAAGTTCAGCTTAAACTAGTTTTGATTGAAATGTAGCAAATTTTTGTCCTCCTATTCCTTGCAAAATGGCTACAGGAAGAAAAAATCCTTTAGGAATTTCTGTGAGCACTACTCAATCTCCTAGAGATCTTATCAAACCAAAATTCTTGTTAGAGGGTAAATTTTCAGTAATGAAAAACATTCATATGATAGAGTACTACTATCAAGAGCACACAGTAGATTTGGTAAACAGACCACTCCTCTCATGCAAGCTTTCCAAATGACAATGACTAAAAACAAATTCACATCTTAGAAATGACAGTATTCTAGTAACAGACTCTTTTTTTTTTTCGAGATGGAGTCTCACTCTGTTGCCCAGGCTGGAGTTCAGTGGCACGATCTTGGCTCACTGCAACCTCCGCCTCCCGGGTTCAAGCAATCCTCTGCCTCAGCCTCCCGAGTTGCTGGGATTACAGGCACCCACCACCACGACCGGCTAATTTTTGTATTTTTAGTAGAGATGGGGTTTCACCATCTTGGCCAGGCTGGTCTTGAACTTCTGACCTTGTGATCCACCCGCCTTGGCCTCCCAAAGTGCTGGGATTCCAGGCGTGAGCCACAGCGCCCAGCACCTAGTAACAGATTCTTTAGAGCTGCACATTTCCCTAACCATTCAGAATGAGGATATATGAAGAACAGGTATAAACAACTTAAAGAGATGAGTAAAAAAAAAAAAAAGAAAAAGAAAAAAACAAGAACATTCATCAGGCATTGCAAAAAGTCATTACTGAAAAGAAACATTCAAAAATAAATAGGTTTACCAAATTTGGTCTCCAATGTGAAGTTACAATCTGATATTCTCCAAAGCAGTCTTGATATTTTTAGATATGTAATAAGGACAAAAATTGGTAACTTTTTAAAAAATTAATTTAATTGACAAAAATTATATTTATGGTATACAACATGATGTTTATATACTGTGGAATAGCAAAATCAAGCTAACTGACATGCATTACTTCACATACTTATTTTTGTACTGAGAACACTTAAAATCTACACTCTTAGCAATTTTCAAGTATGTAATACATTGTATTTACTATAGTCTCCATGTTGTACAATGTATCTCTGGAACTTATTCCTCCTGTCTGATTGAAATTTTGTTTCCTTTGACTCATATCTCTTGAATCTCCCGCCTCAACCCTCACCCCTCCAGCCCCTGGTAACTGACATTCTATTCACTACTTGCGTGAGTTCAATGTTAAAAATCTAAAACATTAACATTTATGTGAGATCATGTGGTATTTGTCTTTCTGGGCCTGGTTTATTTCACTTATTTCACTTACCATGTCCTCCAAGTTCACCCAAATTGCTACAAATGATAGGCTTTCCTTCTTTTTAAAAGGCTGAATAGTATTCCACTGTATATATATACCACATTTTCTTTCTTTTCTTTTTTATTATGCTGCACCCATTAACTCGTCATTTACATTAGGTATATCTCCTAATGCTATCCCTCCCCCCTTCCCCCACCCCATGCCAGGCCCTGGTGTGTGATGTTCCCCACCCTGTGTCCAAGTGTTCTCATTGTTCAATTCCCACCTATGAGTGAGAACATGCGGTGTTTGGTTTTCTGTCCTTGCCATAGTTTGCTCAGAATGATGGTTTCCAGCTTCATCCATGTCCCTACAAAGGATATGAACTCATCATTTTTTATAGTTGCATATATACCACATTTTCTTTATCCATTCATCTGATAACCTCTTAAGATCTTTTCCTCTTATTCTGATGATGACAACTTTAAAAAGGTTGATCTTGAGAATGTTAATGATGGAGTAGAATTTAAGCAAATCCAAGTGTGTCTGTTTATTTATCAATCTTTTAAAGGCTTCCTCACTTGGAAATAATAATAACTCATTACCTATGAGCACTAATCTCTGATCACCTGCCACATGCTAGCCTAAAAGAGCCAGGTATTGCAGATGCAAAGATGAGTGGAGCCTGAGCTGGTCCCTGAGTGGTTCATAGTCTAGACACATAGGCAAACTCTCCAGTAGTATAGTTACATTTTAAATGTCATTTTCCTTTCAAGAAAGAGTAATCAATAAGGACAATCCCTGTTATATGTTCCCTTTACCCTACAGGAGTTTTTTCCATTTACTGCTTATCTTCCTGTCCTTGAAATTCTCCTTTTTTTGTTATCTACAATAATAAAGTTTCCTGGTTCTCCTACTTCTCTAACCACTTTGTCTCCTTCAGCCTAACAAAATGAAGGCATTCCTCAAAGCTAATTGCTTAATTAAAAAAAAAAAAGGACAAAATAAAGCTATTTTCAAGACCAAGAAAGTTTACTACCAACAGATCCCACCAGGAGAAATCTAAAGGTTATACTTTAGATGAAACAATAATGACCCAGGATACAAGATCTGAAACTCAGGAAGAAAGGGTAAATCAAAATAGTAGTAAATATATGGTAGATAAACAAACACTGATATATAAAACAACAATAACAAATTGGGGGAGTGGTGAATTTGGGGAATTAGGTTGTGCTAAACAATCAATATATCTTATAGGGAATAGAAAAGAGGTAACACTCACTCTGAAGCTTAGATAATCTTGATGTCAATATTGCACAAGAAAAACACTAGAAAGGAAAATTATAGGCCAATTCAAGAATACAAATGTAAAATTCTTAAACTATTAGTAAACAGAATTTAGCAATTTATTTTAAAAACCTAATCAATGTAATCTACCATATTAACACAGTAAAGGAGAAAAACCAAATCAAAATGTCATCAAATATAATAAATGTGTGCAACAGATGAAGAAACTGCATTTGGTAAAACTCAATCATCAATCATGATGGGAACTAAACAAAACAAACAAAAAACCCAAACTAGCAAACCAAAAGTGGAAGAAAATGTCTTCACTTTGATAAAGGGTATATACAAAGATCATACTTAATGGTGACATGTTCAGAGCTATCTTTCTATCATTAGGAATAAGATAAGTAGGCTATTATCACTGGTTCTATTCAACAGTGTTATAAAAGTTCCAGCCAATGTAGTAAAGGAAAAGTATTGAAAGATTTAAGAATTGGAAAGTTAGAAAGAAAACAATCAATATTTCAAGGTGGTTATTATGTACATAAAAAAATCCCAGGTAAATTATCAGAATTTATAAGAGTAAATTCAATATTAATGGAAAAAAGTCATATATATTTCCCATAAACCAGCAACCATCATTTAGAAAATATATATTAAGACATACCATTTAAATAACAACAACAAAAATAAAACACATACAGTATTTGGGAAGAAATATAACAAAAGACTGTGTTAACCACTATAAGGAAAATGATAAATCTTTCAACAAGGAAGACTTTAGCAGATACAAATATATACCAGGTTCTTGGATAAAAAGACTCAACCATGATAATGTCAACTTCCATGAAATTATATTCTGATTTAACATAATACCACTGAAATCCCAACAAAAGTGGTTTTTGTTTTGTTTTGCAGAAACATAAGCTGATTCTGAAGTTTACATGGAAGAAATAAGGGCCAAGAAGAGTTGGAAGGAGTAATTTTCACAGAAGCAGAAACCAAAGGTCCCATAAAGGTATGAAAAAAAAAGCTCAATCTCACTGGTATTCAAAGGCATTAAAACCACAATGAGATCTCCCAACATGCCCATCAGATGGGCAATTTTTTTTTAAGTTACAGTGCCTATTTTTAGGATGTAGAAAAACAAGGATGCCCAAATACTGCTGGTTAAAATGAAAACTGGTACAATCACTTTGGGAAACAGTTCAGCATTACCTACTGAAGTTGAATGTGAAACAATGTGCCTATTCTACCACCTACTCATTTTACTGGTGGAAACAAACCCTAGAGCAGCAGTTCTCAAACGTTTTGGTCTCAGGACACCTTTTACACTCTTAAAAATAATTGCAGACCCCCCAAAAGTTTCTTTGTTGATATGGGTTATATTTATTGCTAGTTACTGTATTAGGTATGAAAATTGAGAAAAAGAATTAGACATGAGAACATAAAGCACACAGTCTATCAGCCATCAGAACAATGTCATCATCACATGCCACCCAGCCTCTGGAAAATGCCACCATACGCTTGTGAGAGGATGAAGGTGAAAAAGGAAAATGGTAGTTTAGTATTATGAAAATAGTTTTAACCTCTCAAACTCCTTGCAACGTCTCAAGGAACCCCAGTTCTTGAACTAACTTTGAGAACCACTGCCCAAGACAAATTCTTGCACGTGTGCACCAGACATGTATAAGGATGTTCATAGCTATACTGTACATGATACAAAAACCTAGAAACAACCCCAAACCCATTAATTGGTATATTTATTCTATGAACTACTACACAGCCATAAAAAGGAATAAATTAGTCATATCTGAGAATATAACTGAATTTTGAGCAACAGAAGCAAATCATGAAAAAATATATTCAGCTTTAATATAAAGTTCAAAAAGAGGCAAAACCTAATGAAGTACTGGTGAGGAATATGTCATAGGTTGCAAATTTAATGAGAAGTAAGAGAATGAGTAACACCAAATGCAGAAAACTGTTCCCTGAATAGCAGGCATGGGTATATACAGGAGGCTTCTAAGGTACTGGGAGGCTCTAGTTCTTTGGCTGAGTAGTGAGCACATGAGTGTTTATTTTATTCACGTTTTATACATTTTGTACATAAACAGAATTCCAAAACTCAAAATTAAAAAATAGTAAACTGTTGGCACACCAACATGGCGCATGTATACATATGTAACAAACCTGCACGTTGTGCACATGTACCCTAGAACTTAAAGTATAATAAAAAAAGAAGAAAAAAAATAGTAAACCAAAACAAAACAAAAATTAAAAGACTAGAAAGTCACTTTTAATGGCAAAAACCACAATTACTTTCGCACCAACCTATTAACTTAATAGCCATAGAAGAAACCACAAAGGAATGGGTAATTTTGAATATATTCAAAAACTGAAAAAAGTGAAAGTGACATAAACAAGAAAAGCCCAGACCAATATTAAAAGTCATACTAATAAAAAAATGTTTAAACTACAAATGGATGTAAATGCATGAAAATAATTTACCCTTATTAGCAATCAAAAGCAAACTAAAACAACCATCAGTTAAGAAATAACAACGCTAAATATGAGTAAGGGTGTGGTAAGACTAACACTCTCCTACAAGCCGGCAGGAATGAATATTGGTGCAACTTCCATGGAGGAAGTTTAGCACATATGAGCAAAGGCCTGAACAATATAAACACTCTTAAAACCAATAATTCAGTTTCTGAACATGAATCTTAAGGAAATAATCTCAACTACTGCACAAAAAACTGTATTAAATGAAACTGGAAAGAATCTAAATGTCCACAAAGGGACTATCTAAGACAAAAGATAAGAAAACTATCTTTTATTTATAGAACCAAATATTAAATGGCAATATACAATGTTGCTTACTTCATAAATACGGAGAAATAAAATCATGTCAATAAAAATGTATTTTATAATACACAAAATTATATACGGAATTTTTTTTTTTTTTGAGATGGAGTCTTGCTCTGTCGCCCAGGCTGGAGTGCAGTGGTGTGATCTGTGCTCACTGCAAGCTCCACCTCCTGGGTTCACGCCATTCTGCCTCAGCCTCCCGAGTAGCTGGGACTACAGGTGCCCACCACCACGCCCAGCTAATTTTTTTTTTTTTTGTATTTTTAGCAGAGACAGGGTTTCACCGTGTTCGCCAGGATGGTCTTGATCTCCTGACCTCATAATCCACCCGCCTCGGCCTCCCAAAGTTCTGGGATTACAGGCGTGAGCCACCGCGCCCAACCCAGAATAGTCTTCTAACTTTGTTTTCTTAAGTGTATAGAAAAAAGACTGTAGGCCGGGCGTGGTGGCTCACGCCTGTAATCCCAGCACTTTGGGAGGCCGAGGCAGGCGATCACCTGAGGTCAGGAGTTCGAGACTAGCCTGACCAACATGGAGAAACCGCATCTCTATTAAAAATACAAAATTAGCTGGGCATGGTGGCACATGCCTGTAATCCCAGCTACTCAGGAGGCTGAGGTAGGACAATTGCTTGAACCCGGGAGGCAGAGGTTGTGTGGAGCCAAGATCACGCCATTGCACTCCAGCCTGGGCAACAAGAGCGAAACTCCGTCTCGAAAAAAAAGAAAAAAGACTGTAAACAATGTATCCACTGTTATGACACCTATCTCTGAATGGTAAGTTTATGGGGGTTTCTTCAGATATTTTTGGTATGACCCAAATTAATTTAAATGAATTCATATACTTGTAAAGCCAGACAACAAACCTAATTACAAAACACACAAACCTCTCAATGGCTCTCCATATTAACTAAAGTACAAACACATGACTCTGGTGCCCAAGGCTCTCTACACTATATTCCCACTGTATTTAGCCATGTGTGCTTACCCTCCTTAAGGTTATCAAAGTAGACTTCCTATTACTTTGGAACATGCCCCATACCTTTTGACCTCAGTGCCTCAGTTCAGACTATTCAATCTGCCTGGATCACCTTCTCTACCTGGCTGAGTTCTACCATCTTCCAAAGTTCATGAGAAACACCACCTTTTTAATGAATTTTTTTCTAACTCTGTGCTAAACTAGTCACCCCAGCCAGATGTTATTTCTCTCTTTGACTTTTACAGAAAATATTTCAGCACCATTACCCTTAATACAATTTGCCTTAATTTTAATAGCTATCTCTGTTTTAATGCCTCTACTAGGTTGTAGTAGTTTCAGAAGGGGCTCTACCCTTCCTCCGCTCTTTCTCTAATACTGATACACTGCTTCCCAGAATTAGGCATATAAAGAGTACTCAAGGAACTTAATAAATTATTGTCACAAGAGATTAGTCTCTTTCCTTGGGCATGAGAAAGAGGAAGAAAGAATGGGAAACGTTTCTTATTTGAGATTCAGCATGGAATTTCTCAGAAACAATAAGGAAAAAAATACCATAATTAGGGGCTAATACTTCATTCTTTTTGCCAGCTAAAAATCTATACATAATGGTAACTTAGTTTCTATGGACACAAAAATGTGCTTGGGATTCCTAAGAACCTAACTCCAAAAGCATTTCTGGAATACAGTTTGTGCTTGAAGTGACACACTTGCAGAAAATAAATATTTTCCTTTAGGAAAAACATCAACTTTGCTTAAGTCTGCCTTCAGCCTCTTCTGAAACAAAATATTGTTAATGACAATAGAAAGGGTGAAAGAAAAAGAAGGAAAGTGGATGTTCTAAACACCTGAGTTAATTTCTAAAAGCAAATTCTAAGGGGAAAACACAGGCAAATTAAACAAACAAAACACCCCTTTTATTATCACTTTCCAATTCTACCTTTATTTGTTGTCATATTCCAGGAAACAACTGAAACCTTAAGGTAAGAAGGTCTTCAAAGGCTTCTATTTTCTTTTTCCATGCAAATCTTTAAAATTGGACCAATCTTCTTATGTATATATTTAAGTATTGCTATATTCATTCAGTAAGTATATATTGAGAACTGTGCTGGGCATACAAAGGTGAGTAAGACACACAAGGCCTCTACTCTCAATGTCTATAGGCTGCTACGGAACCCATGTACACTCTACTGGAGGAAATGAAAAACACACAAACCAATGAACAAGATAATTACAGATTACGATAAGGGCTGTAAAGCAGAGAAAATAAACAAGACGGAGACATTTAATAATCAGTGAAGGCCTCTCGGATACATTTAAACACTGAAGAGAAAAAAGGACCAAGCCATGCGCAATACCTGGGTAAAATCTTCCCAGGCAAAGAGAAGTGGAAAAGTCCGAAATTGAAACAGCCCCATTCTGTTTGAGGAACACAAGGCAGTGTGGCTAGTCGTGGTTTTTCAACTGGGGGTCACATTTTAAATTGTGATGTTAAGTTTGTGGGTAATTTCATTTTTTAAAAGGAAGTCAAATAGAAAAAAATACATCGAGAGTCACATGTTTTCAGAAGTATTCTTTAATGAAATTTTGCTTCAGTTATGTGAGTGTGCACGTTTGTCCTGGGTTGCAACATATAACACGTATCTTACTTTGAACGGTGGTCAAATCTGCACTAAGCAAGCAGAGTAGTAACAGATGAGGATGGCGGGTGGGGGCTGGCAAGAGCCAGATCACACATGGCCTTGAATTACAGGCCACCATAAAGAATTGGGATTTTATTCTAAACGCAGTTGGAAAGGCACTGAAGGGTTTCAAGCTGGAGAGTGACATGATCTAACTTGACATCATGGTATTGCCAAAAGATTACTGTAGTGAAAATCAGAAGACATGAGCACTAGTCCTGGCCTAGCCAATAACATCAGGGATTTTGAGCAAATCTCTTAATCTCTCTAGACCTCACTTTCTTCATTTTAAAAATGAGGAGGTTGCCCCAAGATGACCTTTAAGATCTTGTTTATTGCCTAATTTCTGCCTGTATTCTGCTTCCTCCCTTGGGCATAAATAAATGACTATTGGGGTGTTACTAGCTCATTAGGTCGAATTCTGAGTTACTTCTTAAAATATTATAAACCATGTATTAACAGCTATAATAGTTACATTTCTGTAGAAAGCAATTGAAGAAGGATCTCTTTATTGGAACCAGCTATATTATTAGAAATGGGAACTCTGGGTGAAAAGTGAATCAAGTGCTTTTGCAACTCTCTGGAACAAAGTTTGGGGTGTGAAGAAAATTGGCAAGGAGGTATGAAAAGATTTACTGACAAGTATTTGAAACCGATTTCCATATTTGTTCTATGTCATCAACTGATGTATAATCTAGGATGGTTTAAAGTTGCAGGGAACCTCTGCTGAGTACTAGTCAAGATGTAGAAGCTTAACTCCTTTCACAGTAACCAAAATGACAACTGAGGCAAAATATTCACTGAGAATCCACTATATTTTAAGACATGCTAGATGGTTTATGTTTTTTTAAAAAATTTAATCCTACTAACTTTATTATTTGCACTTCACAGATATGAAAACGGGCTCAGAATAGACAAGTAAGCTATGTAGTGGCAGGGTTAGGATTACAATCAATCTTAAGGTAGGCAACATATAAATCCTTATTTAATTCCATATTTACAATAAGTTATTCCGTATGTTTTACAAAATTACTGTACAAGCATTAAATATTCAGTTAAGTACCTGACAACTCAAGTATCTGTGACATCTGGACACAGAATGTTCAACCAATAAATCAATTCTGGACTCATAGGTACTTTGCAAGATACAGTTTGGGATAAGAACTTGTTCCAGCATTGGAGGGCCTATTTTGTGGGTAGCATGCTGGGTTGTATGAAAGCCAAATCAAACAAAATATCCAAGGAATTTGTATACCCAATTAAGTACACATCAATAGTATTATGGCAGTTTCCAGGTACATTTTCGCTAGTGTTGCTGGTGAAAGGCCAGCAGTGGAACCGTGGACTGGACAATGTCACCCGTGTTGTGGGCCTAACAAGTATCCTGCAAGTTCCATAAACACGAGGGCATGCTAAAAACTTAACCGATTTCCAACTTACATTAACCCTTTAAAGGGAGCATGGGACACACCACTTGACCATTTGAAGCAGTGCACACGGCTTGTCATGGAGAGGAAAACCTTTGAGACGTGCCCAGCATCATTCCTGTGAGGGTCGAAAGGGTCCCTAACACCTCCCACAAATACACTCACAAACACTCCAGCAAAGTTGGGGATGCTCACTGCACACCTTTCTTAATACCTGGAACAGAGTACCCACCTGTCACATACTCAGCTTCGAACCTCCTCCGGGTCTCAGAGATGAGCTTGGCTTTATTCTGGGCGTGATTCTGGATGGGAGACACGATGGGACCTTAGATACTACTTGCATCAACCCGCTTACCCTCAACCCAGCCCACCTGCACACGGGCGCTCGGTCCCCGGGCCTCAGAGGCGGCTTCCGGGTCCGGGGGGCCAGCGGCGGTGCAATAGGCTCCTCACCTCTGCCATGATCACCGTCGTGGATGTGATTGCGGTTGTCGCCGTCGCCCGTTCTACCGTCGCCGACCGAGTATCTCATCACCCGGCAGTCCCGCCCAGAGGTAGACAGAGAAGGGTGGGAGGGGGAGGCGGTCGCGTGACACCGGAAGGCGGACAGAAGCGCCGCCGCACCGCCCAATCCAATGCGGACGCCTGGGTCTGGAGGCGGGACCAGGCCCTCAGCCTAGGTCCCATTCGATTCTCGTCTGGCCTCGCCCCGCGACATCCCCCGCACTGCGGTCCCGCCCCCGCCAGCCGCGAGATCGCCGGCGCTTCCCCCGCGGAGCTCCGCCCTAGAGAGCTCGCGGGCTCTCTGCTTTCACAACACTCCCCAGGGCCCCGCCTCCTCAGCCTCCCTTGGCCACCTCTCCTGGCTGGCTTCTAGGCTCCGCCTCCTCTGCGTTCGACGCAGCCTCCGCCCGGCCTCCCAGGATGCAGCGCGCTGGCGGGAGGTTTGGAGCAGATGGATACCGTATCGACGTGGGGCCTCCGGTATGTTGCCGCTGCGTTGAGGTAGGATGGGGCTGGCGAGTCTTCCCTTCCCAGGACTTCGCAGAGGGGGCGATGGGGCTGGATTTCCTCCCCTTGTCCCCGCATTGCGGGAGAGAGGGAAGGAAGCGGGCATCCCGAGACCTGGGTCTGTCATTCCTTGCAATGATAATTGGATTTTAAGTGCTACATTCGCTTGAAGTTTTTTTCATCCCTTCAGTATCCTTCCAACTTGGAGTGTGAGATGCTTAATGAGCAAAATATCTCTGAAATCTTTAATCTCAAATAATTATATAAAGTTAAAAAAAGCGTGTTTCGGCTTATTAAGGTAGTTGTGTTCAGCCGGGGGGGTGGGGGGGTGTGTGTGGGGGGGGCGGTTTTACCACCCAGGGGACCTTTGGCAACCTCTGGAGACATTTTTAGTCACCACTGCTAGGGGCCGGGGGCAAAAGAGATGCTCACTGGCTACTAGTGGATAGAGACCAGGGAAGCTGCCAAACATCCTCCAGTGTACATGAAAATTCACAACAGTTATCCAGCCCAAAATGTCAATAGTGTCAAGGTTGAGAAAGATTTAGATTTAAAGGGACTGGAACAAATTTTATTCGTCAGTTAAAAACAATTGAAAGAAAATAGTTGCGCATACAATATTGCCTTTTTTAAAGTTGAAAGATACTGAAAACTACAAACAAGTTGTAAGAATAGTCCCCCATATTTCCATCAACCGTAGTCATCCATGACAGAATGGCATGTTAGCATCTTTTGTCCTAGACTTTTAAATATATTTACATTTTTTATGGGAAAAAATGAACACATTGTTTAAACGTTGTTTGACTACATCCTTAAAAGATATTTCAGATATAACTAAAGTCTCCTTCTACCTCTACTCACCTATCCTGGACACTTCCTTGTCCAGAATCAACAGCATTCAGAATTTGGCATGAAATGTTTACAGTTTTACATTTTTTTATTTTGGATCATACTGCCTGGGTTTGAATCCTGGCTCTGTCACTTCTTATCTGCAAGCCTTTGAGAAGATCCTGAAACTCCTTGCCTCAGTTTCTCCATCTATAAAATGGGATAGTAACAGTGCCTATGTCATAAGGATGTTGTGAGGAAGAAACGAGTTAATCCAAAGTGCTTAGAGCAGTACCTGGCACTGTTTCTTCAGGAAAAAAAAAAAAAATAGTACATGGCACTATTTCTTGAGAAAGCACTCAGGGACTGTAGTCATTGTAGGTAAATAGAACATATATAATGCTGTTTTATTTGTTTTACATAAATAATATGCTGCAGTGTACATTTGTCTGCAACTTAATTTTTAATTCATTTTATTTTTGAAATTTAACCATGATTATATATATATATACACACACACACACACACATATATAGATAGATAGATCTAATTCATTCCTTTTAACTCTTGTTTGATAGTCCATCTATACTCATTCCCCTATTGGTGTTCATTGAGGTTTTTACTTTTTTTATATTGCAAATATCAGCACAGTGAGCTTCTAGAGCAATGTATTCATTCATATGTGGGATTATGTCTCTGGGTTTATATCTACAAATGAAACTACTGGGTATATGCATTTCAGTTGACTGCCAAATTACCTTCAGAGTCATCTCTCCCTTTTATTTAAGTACTCATAATTTTCTTCTAATTGTTAGCTCTTTTTCCAGTCTGATCTCACTCACACCTTTAACACTGTCACCAGGATCTTCATAACTCAAAAGTACAGTCCTGTGATTTCTGTTTTTGAAGTCTTTCAGTGGGTTATCATTACTTATATGAGAAATTTATAAGTCCTTAATATGACATAAAAATCTTCTTTAGCGTAATCTTCCCAAATCCTCTAATTTAGTTGATCACGATTCTCCCGCATTTACTCACATTTCAGGCATATTAGATAATGTTGAAAAAGGTGAGATCAATTCTGTATAGGACCCAATAAATAACTTATGTAGGGAGAAAAAAACTTTTAACAGTGGCCCTATTTTGTAGGAAAGTTAATTTACTTTGGTTAACAATGTCATATGTCTTGGAAAAACAACATCTATCATTATTATCTTCATAAAATTATGTTCAGTATTATTAGGTGCCATTTTAGTTGAGTGTCTTAATTTTACTTTTTTCCCAAGGATACTTTCTCTTGGTCACAGTTAATATGGTTTCTTAGACTTTTTGGATGTCATCTGCTCTTCTAGGATAATCTGGAACCACACTGATAGTTTATTTAAAGAATTGTCACATTTATAGGGCCAAAATGATTTATGAGCATTTAAAAAGAATGAACAACATATTTATTAAGAGGGGGGGCAGTAAAGAGTAGATGAGGATGATAATTTTATTGCCAGCCTACTATTTTTATGTTAGCATATGCTTGTATATATTATCATTTTTCTAGTATACACACACATCTGTTTTAATTTTATGTATAAAATAGATAGTCAACTTTGATGTATGGTAATATAGAACAGGAAAAGCTCAAATTAATTATGTAGTATTTTATAAATAATCTACTTTCTGGTCTCCACGCCCCGCCCCGCACCGCCACCCTGCCCCGCACCGCCACCCCTAGTTACTTCTGTATCTTCTGCAGCCACTGTTATAATGTTAATAAGTAAAAAGTCAAATAGCCCATAGGCTAGAATAGTAAACCTGGGGCCCTGATAAGCAGAGTTTAAAATAGTGAGGGGTTGCTTATAATTGGACTAAGAACCTGTAAATTGAACCTTAGTTTGATTTGTTTCCAGATATGTTTCTATTTTTTTTAAATGCCAGTTATTTCATGGCCTGCAGGTTTTATGAACATATCCCAAGAACTTTAAAAATAGATGTTGCAGCAGCAATACTTAATATCTACTGTCTTAGCAGTTACACCTCAATAAAGCTGGGAAAAAAGTTAAAATTCATTTTAGCAATGAATTAAATTTTAATGATTGAGTATTACTTAGATATAATAAATAGCAAACATTAAAAACAAATGAGATTGAAAACATGTTGCATCAGTATAAAATATAGTGGATATGCACATATATGTAAATTCAATAAGTCTTGCAAAAACTTTTCACTCAATAGTCATAAATAGTCATTTATGTTTTTAGATCAGTTTAAGTTCATGAGAATAAGTTTGCTTTCTGCCTGGAGATCGTATTGAAAGCAGGTCGAATTAGGATTATACAACAGAGTTTTGAATGCCATGCTAAGCTTCATAGCAATGATTTGCAAGCTTTTTTTCTCTACACCATTCATATGTTCAATTCACAGTGTTTAGCATCTATTTTTCCAGGTAGTAATTCAAGAATCACAGGTCTATTGAGAAAGGCAAGGGGCATGTAAGCTTTTGGATTAGGGGGTGGACAGTGACAGGATCAAGTGTGTGTTTTAGAACAATTAACTGATGTATTAAATAGCATAAATGAGTTGATATATTGGAGGGAAGATAGATTAGATTAAGGAAGACTAATTAAGAAGCTTTTACCTCAGCCTGAGAGATCACAGCCTGAACTATAGTAGTGGCAACTGGAACAGAGAGTTGGAAGATAGATGTTTCTAACTTAGGGAACTTGATGATGACATTTAAAGAACAGAATGTAAGGAGCCTAACTTTCATAAATTCTGACCATTTTATAATCAGGTTTTCCTTACTCCTATCACACTTAAGTTATTGGTAAGTGAACCAGAGCATTGTACTGATTAAACATTAGTTGTGATATTTAACATTAAAATAATAAAATTCATACAGAGGTGATTTTTGTTTTTGATATTAAGAAATCTGAAAAACTTTGAATAGGTAGTAAAAGATGATGAATTCTTAGAGCTTTACCTCAGAATGTGTAATTTTCATGCTTTTCCTTTCTAGAAATCTAGGAAACCTGACATGGGACCTTTGGTAAATACATTATTATTCATACATTTTGATGGAATATAACTAATATGTTTATTTTCTCTAAACCATAGTTTCATAAGTACAAGCCAGACCTTTGATTTACCTACCCTATCTTCTTTACTGATGAAGCTGAAACTACTTTGTGATGCCTATTGTCCCAGATCTTTCTGTTAATTGCCTAACAACAAACCAGTAAGCCAATGACTTCTTTTTTTCTTATTTACCTGTTTTTATTGACACATTGTAATTGTATATATCTAGAGAGTGCAATTTGATGTTTTGATACATACATATATTGTATAATGGTCAAGTCAGAGTATTTAGTGTATCCTTCCCTCATGAATGTATCCTTTCTTCCTGGTAAGAACATTCAAAAACATCTAGTTATTTTGTAATAAGTAATAAATTACACTTTAGTGTTAACTATCTTTACCCTACTGTGCAATAGGACACTAGAACATATTCCTCTTATCTAATTGTAGCTTTGTACCCTTTGAGCAACCCCTCCCCATCCTCCCATCCTCTCTCCTTTCCCCAGTCTCTGATAACCAGTATTCTACTCTCTGCTTCTATGATAGCAACTCTTTTAAAAAAAATTTTAGATTCCAGCTATTAGTGAGATCATGCGGTATTTGTCTTTTTGTGATTGGCTTATTTCACTTAACATGATGTCTTCCAAGTCCACCCATGTTGTTACAAATGACAGGATTTCATTTAATTTTGTGGCTGTATTAATAGTATTCCACGCTATGCACCAAAAATTGGTATATACACCAAATTTTTTAATCCATTGATTCATTGTTGGACACTTGGGTTGATTCCATATTTTGGCTATTGTAAATAGTGCTGAATAAACATGGGGGTGCAGACATCTCTTTGACATTGATTTCATTCCTTTGGATATAGACCCAGTAGTGGGATTCTGGATCATATGGTAGTACTATTTTTAGTTTTTTGAGGAACTTCCATACTGTTTTCCATAGTGGCTATACTAATTTACCTTCCTACCAGCAGTGTGTAAGTGTTCCTTTTTCTCCACGTGCTTGCCAACCTTTGTTATCCTTTGTCTTTTTAATAATAGCCATTCAAACTGAAATTAGGTGGTATCTCATTGTGGTTTTGATTTGTGTCTCCCTGATGATTAGTGATATTGAGCATTTTTTTTGTGTGTGTACCTTTTGACCATTTGTGTGTCTTCTTTTGAGATATGTCTATTAAGTTATTTTGTCCATTTAAAATATTGGGATATTGCTGTTCTTTATATATTCTGATATTAATCCCCTGTCAGATGTATAGTTTGCAAATGTTTTCTTACATTTTGTAGGTTGTCTCTTTACTTTTTTTTTTTTTTTGGCTGGGCAAAAGCTTTTCAATTTGATGTAATCTCATTTGTCTCTTTTTGCTTTTGTTGACTGTGCTTTTGAGATCTTATTTAAAAAAATCCTTGCCCAGCCCAATGTCATAAAATGTTTCCCCTATGTTTTGTTCTGGTAGTGTAATAATTTCAGGTTTACATTTAAGCCTTTAATCCATTTTGAGTTGATTTTTTATATGGTGAGAGGTAGGAGTCTGGTCTCTGCATATGGATATCCAGTTTCCCAGCACCACCATTTATTGAACAGACTGTCCTTTCCCCAATGTGTGGTTCTTGGCACCTTTGTCAAAAATTAGTTGGTTGTTGGTGCATGAATTTATTTATGGCCTCTCCATTGTGTTCCATTTGTCCATGTGTCTGTTTTTATGTCGGTACCATGCTGTTTCAGTTACTGTAGCTTTATAGTATATTTTGAAGTCAGGTAGTATGATGCTTTTAGGTTCATTCTTTTTGCTCAGTATTGCTTTGGCTATTAGGGGTCTTTTGTGGTCCCATATGAATTTCAGGATTGTTTTTTCTATTTCTGTGAAGAATGTCATTGATATTTTGCTAGACATTGCACTAAGTCTATAGATTGCTTTGGGTAGTATGGCCATTTTAACAGTATTAATTCTACCAATCCATGAGCATGGGATCTTTCCATTAGTTTGTGTCATCTTAATTTTTTTCATCAGTATATTATAGTTTTCATTGTAGAGATCATTGACCTTTTTGGTTAACTTTATTTCTAGTTATCTTATTTTTTTTTGTAGCTTTTGTAAATGGAATTGTTTTCTTGATTTCTTTTTCAGATAGTTCGCTTTTTAGCAAATAGAAATGCTGCTGATTTTTGTATGTTGATTTTGTATCCTGTGACTTTACTGAATTTATTAGTTCTAACAGTTTTTTGGTGGAGTCTTTAGGGTTTTCTCAGTATAAGATTATGGCATCTGCAAACAAGGACAGTTTTGCATTCTCCTTTCCAATTTGGATGTCTTTTATTTCTTTCTCTTGCCTAATTGCTTTGGCTAGGATTTCTTGTATGCAGTTCATAGAAGACTGAATAAAGAGATATCAACAACTTTTTTTTATACATGTGTTCAATATTGAGGATATTCTTTTATCCTTTATTTTACTAATTCTCTCAAGTTACCTTTCTTACAATGAGTTTGTTCAGAATAAGGGAATGCATGCCAGGGCAGAGTGGTAGTTAAAAGTGTAGACTCCAGAGTCAGAAGGCCCCTTTTCCAAACTAGCACCATTGCTGATTTCTGTTAACTGTGGATTAGTGTTGTAACCTTGGAAAATTTTCTTATCTTCTTTAAAATAAGGCTTTCTTGCTTAAAAGGTAGAATAATAAGGGTACTTATTTTAAGACAATAGTTATTAGAATTAAATAATGCATGTATTGTACCTGCCATATAATAAGCTTGAATGATTGATATTATTTAATTCTTGTGTTCATTGTAATAAATTATGTTAATCCTCTATTTTTTCTAATTTGAATAAGAATAGTGACTTTGTTGGGTCATACAAATGCATACAAATGCATTGCCTTTGTAAACTAAGATTTATTTTTATTAATCCTATGGAGATTTTTTAAAGCCTTGTTACAGCATCTCCTATTTTTATTCCTGGGGTTTCTTTTTTGTCTTAGAGCCTGTATAGGCTCCTGTCTCTAGAAAGCAGAAGCCCAATTGCCTGGGCTGTGGGAGAAGTATAATTGAAAATCAACGTATTTGGGGAGAGTGAGTTGCAAGACAAGTAAACCCCTAATTGAATTGTCATTCTAAAGGGGCTAAGGCAGAGAGTGGGAAACCACATTAGAGTTGTTAGGTTTGAAACAGAGAAGTATAACCCTTAAGCAATTTTCTGAGCCAGAACAAATATCTGAAGTCACTTTTAATAGAGCATCTAAAGCTTTAAATATATGCCGTTGACACATTCAGTTATCTTTTTTGATATGGTTATTTGAATTCTTAGCAAACTTTTTTAAAGCGTCTACAGAAATAATATTTAGAATTTTTTTTATAAGTATGATATTGTCAAAATAGTATAAAAAGCTTAAAATGTTTACTTAATAAAATGTGTAGTTACCTATGTTGTAGTTCTCTAACAGAAACGTGTTTTCTTTTCAACCCTTCCTACTTCATGGCAGTTTTTCCTCATTTCTTTTTTAGGTTTAGAAACATCAACTGGAATCAATTTGCATTTGAAAATTAGATCAGCACAAAGACTTGATATTGTGGAATGACTAGCAAACAAGCAATGTCATCTAACGAACAAGAAAGGCTCTTGTGTTATAATGGGGAAGTCCTTGTTTTCCAGTTGTCTAAAGGAAATTTTGCAGATAAAGAGCCTACAAAAACACCCATATTACATGTCAGAAGAATGGTATTTGACAGAGGAACAAAAGTATTTGTTCAGAAGTCCACTGGATTTTTTACCATAAAGGAAGAAAACTCTCATTTAAAAATCATGTGTTGCAACTGTGTGTCAGATTTCAGAACTGGAATTAACCTCCCTTACATTGTGATAGAAAAAAATAAAAAGAATAATGTTTTTGAATATTTTTTACTAATCCTTCACAGTACTAATAAATTTGAAATGCGTTTGAGTTTTAAACTAGGCTATGAGATGAAGGATGGCCTAAGGGTCCTTAATGGCCCTTTAATTTTATGGAGGCATGTCAAAGCATTCTTCTTTATCTCTTCTCAAACTGGCAAAGTTGTTAGTGTGTCAGGTAACTTTTCCTCTATTCAGTGGGCAGGGGAGATTGAAAATTTAGGTATGGTTTTATTGGGACTAAAGGAATGTTGTTTATCTGAGGAAGAATGTACTCAAGAGCCTTCAAAATCAGATTATGCAATTTGGAATACCAAATTTTGTGTATATTCTCTTGAAAGTCAAGAAGTATTAAGTGATATATACATTATTCCTCCTGCTTACAGCAGTGTGGTGACTTATGTACATATTTGTGCAACTGAGATCATCAAAAAC